>NC_000001.11:228911394-229062909 GCF_000001405.40 Homo sapiens | reverse complement strand
GCAGGGCGGTCCTGGCAGGTTGGCTGGATGCATGAGGCCATCCCAAGACCCCAGCTCCTCCCCTCTTGATGCTCTGTCATCCCCTGGGTGGCTCACATCTGCACCTGCAGCCCATGGGAAGCACAGGGGGAGTAGAGGATGCCCCCTTCCTTTGTAAGAGATGGTACCTAGGAGCTGTCCTGGTCTACTTCTGCTCAGATCCCATCAGCTGGAACTCAGACAATGCCACACGCAGCCCCCAGGGAGACTGGGAGTGCTGGTCTCCAGCTGGGAAGCTGTGTGCCCTGCTGACCCCCTATTGAAGGAAAGAATGAGAGAATGGAGACAAGCACAGCCAGCCACTCCCTCCCTCCCAGCTCAACTCGGACCCCGCTTTCCACGGGAGTTCTGGGCTTGGGCCCCTTCCCAGTGCTCCTGCATGCCAGTGTCTGCGTCTGAGGGCCCCACATCCCCGCAGGTCCCGATTTGAGGGGCTAGCCACTCCCTTGGCTTCTGTTCCAGATTACTTAGTAGAGTTATGACACTCCTCCTGGCTGCCAGCTGCTGGCCCGAGCTTTGGGATGATCAGCTGAGGTCCTGGCACCTGGCCCTGCCTATGTGTTGGCAGGGGCATCCTGCACTAGCAGGCCACATTAGGGGAGGCTGCCCACCTCTCACTGCCCATCCTGTTGTAGCAACCCCCTGCCCCTGGGAGTCAGGCTCAGTTCTCCTCCCTTGGGCTCTACTCAGGTGGGCACAGATGAGAGGGCACTTCAAAGGGCACAGGAAAGGGTAATGGAAGGAAAAGTGGGCCTGGAGTGAGCCCAGAGTCCCAAAGCCCTCTGTCCCCTTCGATTCTTTGTCTGCACAGGAAACCAGAGGGTGAGAAGGACAACTAGGGATACGGGCTGACTGCGATTGTGAAGACCACGCTTGCCCACTCCCCAGGCTGCCACTGAAGGGCCAGGCCTCTTAGATGAAGGCTCAGAACGTAGGAGCTGAAAGAGACCTCAGCTCCTCCCCTGTGCAGCAGTGCTCAAGTGCTCTACCCAGCCTTGTGTTCAGGAGCCGCCTGCAGGTGCAAGGGAAGGAAAGGGACACCCTAGACAAGGCTGGTCAAGGTTGTCCACCCCACCTCCCCTTTGCTGCCAGAGTATTTCTTTCTTATCTGTTATGTGTTTGGGGGTTGTGTGCAATTATTTCACTTACTAAAAAGGATCCCACTGGTGGGAGGAAAAGAGGACTTGAAAGCCACTGATCCAGGACAAAGCCTTCCTTTTATACTTTTTTTCCTTCCTTCCTTCTTTCCTTCCTTCCTTCCTCCCTTTTTTCCTTCCTCCCTTCCTTCTTTCCTTCGTTCCTTCCTTCCTTCCTTCCTTCCTTCCTTCCTTCCTTCCTTCCTTCCTTCCTTCTCTATCTTCTTTCTTTCTTTTTCATATAACCCACAAACATCCTTCCATATACTTAAATTTTTTTCCAGACGAGGTTCTGCTATGTTGCCCAGGCTGATCTTGGATTCCTGGCCTCAAGTGATCGTCCTGCCTCAGCTTCCTGTGTAGCTGGGATTACAGGTGCCTGCCACTGCACTCAGCTTCTGTGTTTTGAACAGGCTCCATTGGTGATGCAGATGCTGCCTATGGGACCTGTGATGGTTAATTTTATAAGTCAACTTGTCTGGGCCATGGTATCCAGATAGTTTGTCAACTATTATTATTATTATTTTAATACAGCATTAAATTTTAATTTTTAATTTTAATTTTTTTTGAGACAGGGTTTTGCTATGTTACTCAGGCTGGAGTGCAGTGGTGTGATCATGGCTCACTGCAGTCTGGACCTCCCAGGCTCCAGGGATCCTCCCACCTCAGCCTTCCAAGTAGGTGGGACCACAGGCACGTGTATCACCACACCCAGCTAATTTTTGTATTTTTGGTAAAGACGAGGTTTCACTATGTCACCCAGGCTGGTCTCAACCTCCTGGGCTCAAGCGATTTTCCCACCTCAGCCTCCCAGTGTGCTGGGATTACAGACGTGAGCCGCCACGCCTGGACAGGTCAAATATTATAAATTTTTCTGTGAAGGTGTTTTAAATGAGATCAACATTTAAATCAGTAGACTTTAAGGACAGCAGATTAGCCTCCATAACACGGGTGGGCCTCATCCAAACAGTTGAACACCTTAAGAGAAAAAGACTGAAATTTCCCAAGGAATATGGAATTCCTCCAGCAAACGGTCTTCAGTTTTGAACTGAAACTCTTCCCTGGGTTTCCTGCCTGTCCACCTGCCCTACAGACTTTAGATCACCCTGGCCTCTACAGTCCTGTAAACCCATTCCTTAAAATAAAGTTTCTCTCCCTCTCTCTCTTTATGCACACACACACACACACACAGAAACACACAGACACACAAACACACACATACACATACACACAAACCCACACATACACACACACACACATGCACACACATATACACATACACACAAACACATACACAGAAACACACAAACATAGCACACACACATACACATACACACACACACAAACACACAGACACACACACATCCTGTGCATTCTGTTTATCTGGGTTCAAACTCCAGCTCTTCCACTTACAGTGAGATTTTAGACAGGCTATCTCAAATCTTTGCTTCTGTCTCTGTAAAGTGGAGATTATACATTTAGTCCAGTGCCTGGCACTTAGGAAACTATTAATAAATTAGAACTCTAACCTTCATCAGGCCATGATGATTATCATAGTAGCACTGGGAAAAACTGTAAGAAGTCTTGCCCTTCCTGTTCTTCAAGAAATCTTGTCTCTATCCCTCATTCTAAGCAGTGAAAACCTCACCTTTTCTTGAAAATCTCAAGGAAATGAGATTGTACAGACATCCTCTGCTGAGCACAGCAGCCCTGCCCGGCACGTGAGGGCCCGATGGCCCCAGTCCCACCTCTCCCCTCACTGCCGGGCAGCAGGGAGGAAGCAGCAGAAAGCGTTTCCCAGTCAGGACACGTTTGTTGTCAGCTCTTTCCTGGACAGAGCCAGCTTTTCCTTCTTGTTTTACTTGGCATCGATCTGTGTATTATCTGTGCAGTTCTCTGGAAAAGAACAGAAAACCAACTTCCTATGTGAATAGCCAAGAGCACTGACCTCTCTGATCTCTGGCTGTCTTCAGGACTAACTCAGAATTCCTGGCTCCTCCTGTCTCTGGCCAGGGAGGCCGCCTGAGTTGGTGCACAGAAACCTCAGCTGGTATCGGGAATGTTCTGCAGGACCAAGGGTGGTTCCAGGGTTTTTACATAGAAGGGGCTTGAAGGCAGGAGTTTGGTTGAAAGAGAAATTGTCCTATAATTGTATTTGCAGCACAAACACAATGGTTTTATTTAGAAGGCATATCACAGAGCATGAGGGTGACAAACTGGCCAGTGGGATAAATCTGTCCCCCTACCTGTTTTCGTAAATGAGGTATTGTTGGAACGCTTCTATGCCCTTTCTATTGCCTAAGACTTCTTTCGCATTGTAGCGGCAGAGCGGAGTAGTTGAAACAGAGGCTGTATGTGTGATCGCAAAGGTCTAAAATACTTACAATCAGGTCCTTTACAGGAAAAGTTTGCAAATCCCTGTAACACAGCAATAAAACAGCACATTTTAAAAAAAGATGCTACATTTATAACAATGTGCGTAAAAATAAGAAACTATCCTTTGCTCATTTCAAATCATATTTTGGGGATGTCTCGGTGGGTGGTTTAATGAGGCCCCTGGGTGGGAAGAGGAGTGTAAATTTTCCTAAGTGACGTTTGTGCTGTGACCATGGAGACACTCCTTCCTCAACCCAGGTCCTCTGAATCTCACAGAATGCCAACCTGTGGTCTGAGTTTCTGCTTTGTTTTCAGGTTTTGGCCTCTGCCCAGCAGCACAGACTGTCCTCTCACCCGGGTTGTTTTTTCAGTTTTTCTTGCATCGTGGCAGCTATGGAAAACGGCATTCATTATTTGTAAAAGGATGCGGCTGCTCACGGCTGAGGAGACAGCCACAGGAGCTGTCCCAGACCCCATCCCCAGGACTGAGGCATTGGCCTCTGCACACGTGAAACCCATTAGCAGCCCGGAAGACACTGCAGCGGAGGGCTGGGAGGCTCCCGCTGGTGAGCTTCCCCTTGTTCCTGGTGACAGCGCTCTGGATCTGCCACTCAGGGTGTCAAGGAGAGTCGGTCACACTTTCCTGTTCCTGCTCCAGGATGGGGCCTCCTGTCCCCCAGGGCCCCAACCTTAACAAAAACCTGAAGGAGCATGCTAGGTCCTGGTTGAGTTGTTTTCTCCTATGTTTCATTTAAGCCTAATTAAAGTTCTGGTATTAGGCCAGAGAGATATGATACTATTAGCTATGTTTTGTAATGGAGGAAATGGAACCTCAGAGCACTGCGGCAAGTTGCTCAGGTAAATGGGCTCTGAGCCAGAGGATCAAGTGCTGGCGGTGTGCTGGCAATGCCAACAACAGGATCTCCTTGCACAGCAGGGAGTGGGGAAGCCTCATCCACAGCATCTGCCCCAGCCCTTGAATAAATCCCCTACCCAGGGGGCTCACCAACCCCGGACTAGGATCCCTGACCCTCTCTGGGCCTCTATTCCCTGACCTGTGGGTTGAGAAGGTGTAGCGCCTGGAGCTGCGGAGCAGACCTGCACAGGAAGTGCTTTAAAAGCCACAGAACCTTTAAAAGCCACAATCTTAGACGGCGTGGGTCGGTGCCAGCAGAGTAGGAGCCCCAAGCATGAAAAGACCTGGCACATCCCACCTCGGTCACCCATGTGCGACTAAAAGCAGATCCGACACTAAGCCATATGTTTAAGAAGGCGTTTTTCTCATGATGCCTATGTAAATCATCACATAAAAAAAGTGTTGGGCTCCCTATCTTGCTATTGCCCTAAGCATGTTTTTGGCCTTTCCACTGGGTGACCCAGCCTGGGGACAATATGTTTGAGAAAGATAGGTATCTTGTAGCTTTCAGGACCCAGCTGGAAACTTTAGGAGAATTAGGGGTATCCAGTATCCAGGTTGGAGTAACTTCAACAGCCTGGGACTGAGTTTAGACAAATGGCCTGCAGAATTGTACCTAACTAGCTGTGTAATCACTCATGAATTGTTTTCTGAGCACCTCTGGCAAGGTGCTGAGGGGGAAGAGGTGAGATGCTTGTCTTCTCTGGGGCTGGGGATGGAGTGAAAGATGCATGTGGCAGAGGCCACTTATGACCCAGGGAGTGCTGCTGCCATGATACCTGGGCAGCATCCGAGGGCCCATAATGGCCAAGTGTGCTGTAAGGGGGTCAAGAGATCACCGTTGAAGTTGGCAGCTGTGGGAGGCTTCCAGAATGGCAGATGGAGCTGGGCCTCGAAAGGCAGGTGGGATTCCAGCAGGTGAGGACGGAGGCTGGACCAGCACTCTCAGGGATCCATCGAGTGGTTTTTCCTTTCTCTGTTTCACTTGGATGCCCTTGATTCTCACTTCCATTTCCTCTCCTGGTTTGACCCCTGAACTACATCCACAGGTGAGAGGGCAGCCTTGACTCCCCTGTTCTGGGACTGGTTATTAGGCTTGGTAGGGGTGGAGAGGAGGGTGGCTTCCTCCCAGAGGCAGTAGTAATATACCCAACCGACACTCCAGCTTTCCTTAAAGGCATCTTCGCATCCCTTTAATGAGTTCATTTTTCCATTATGTAGCCTAGAGGTGTGTGATTGGTTAAAATTCAAAGAACTAGTATTTGGCCACCTTTTAGCACCATTTAGCAATTATTTCAAATATGTTCCTTTAGAATGTGCAGGTGCTTGTTAAGAGTTCTTTTCAGCAAAGATCCTAACACAACCGGAAAAGTCCTCGTGTAATATCCTGTTACGTTCTCTAGGTTGATTTTACATTCTGCCTATATGACTGAACACATTTCCAATGCAATTAAAAAATAGTTTGCAACAACTCAGTGGGTGCTGATGTGCAGCTTCCTCAGTTGCCTGGCCCATCATTTTCATCAGGTTACTCTTAGGGCGTTCTGTGACCCATAACACTAAGGCTATGTGACCCATAACGTAAGACCAAGGCCTGCTGGCCTATAAGGCAAGGTGCTGTTACCAGCTTACTTGATGCCCCTGGCTCATCTTAGACTTGAGGTCTCCTAACTCCTTGCTTAGAACACTTTCACAAGATTCTTTTGTCCCCTAAACAAAACAAAACAAAACAAAACAAAACAAAAAACAACCCAAAACCAAAAGCCTTGAGACCTCACTTTTTGATTTGAATTTTTATTTAACCTAATGTCCTTTTATCTCTTAATAGTTGGCTCTGGAACCCACTATGCAGCTGAATCCTCTTTCGTCAGCCCTTGTGTTTGTTGGTATAATTTGGTGTAAAGGAAAATAAAAAACTCTCAGGACCCCCGAAGTCCTTATGCAAAAGGGAAGGTTAAGCCTGGAGACGGAGTCACATAACACTCCCTTCCAAATGAAGAGCTGTTACCAGCATTATGTGGTTCCCCTCTGGAAGGTAAAAGTCCTCAGACATCTACAAAGGACTACCCCACAGACCATTCATAAGTAAATTCTTTGCTAGCCTCCTATAAATAAGCACATGTCAATTGTAACTTTGGATCTACAGTCTAAGGCTAGCGCCAAAAACTAGTCAGTTCATTCTGTATTGATAATGTGAGTTACAAGCTTATCTTCCCAGGTGCAGAACATAGACAAGATGAGACCAGTCATTCCTCCACCTACCCAGAGAAGTCTGCATAATCAGTTCTTCATTTACTCCCTTTTTTCTCTTCAAACATTCCCTTTATCTTATGTAAAATATAGATTTAGTGAGCACTAATTAAAGTCTTACAAGAATGTGACCATTTACCTTACTGCCTACCTGCCTGTCTTCCTACCTGCCTTCCCCCCTTTAAGGAAATGTACAAAGACTAAACCTTCTGAAAACCTTTTTAGAAAAAAACAGCCACAGATGTGTCAGTGTTTTCCCTGGATGCTCCCTCCAGCTGGCTTAATAAACCTTGATTGACTGAGACTTTTGCTTCAGTCACTCATTTCAGTTATCATCAGATTACATGAGAATATCACTGTGATATCTAGAAAAACAGCCTCTGCTGCTGTAGGAACCATGCTTGGAAGGTCTTCCTTCATTTTCAGTGCCTGCCTGCCCTTCTGCAGTAAAAATCACCTACTCTACCTGCCCTGGCACCTACTCCCCTAGCACCAGCCAAAGGATGCCCCGCTGTGAAGACAAAGCTGGAGTCCCCAGGAGGCATCTCCACATAGGTAGGGTGTTTGGAAGAGGTGGGGTCCTCGGGTCCCACCAGCCAGAGAAACATTCAGTTAAGGCAGAGCCTGGCGTGTGGTCAGGGAATGCTTTGCTGAAGAAGAAATCTCGAAATAGATGTGTAGGTGTAACTGAGTAACCCCCTTTTTCTAAGAGATAGTGAATGAGTTGTTATTATTATTATTTCTCTTCTTTTCTCTTTTCTCTATTTCTCCCTGCTCCCCACTTCCTACTTAGCCCTTCAGAAATGCAATTATAACTTTCTACCTCCCCTTCACCAGACACTCCCTACAGGGTGAGTTCATCTATGTGCTTAGAAGCTCTAGAGGGGGATTGTCTCCCACCAGAAGACTGCCTTGAGGACAACAGTCAATTTACAACTCAAGGTATACCTGCTACAAAACCCTCTCCCACCTGGAGAGTTTTGGCCACCTTTATAACCTAGCTCTACCCACCAAGACACCAACTTGACCACCTGGTAGATAAGGCACTGAAGGTAGTATGTGGACCCCTACCTGTTCACTTCCTGCCCTGCATGTCATTCATGCCAGGTCCCCTTTTGAAAGTGCCCACTTTCTTTTTATTTTATTTATTTATTTTTTTGAGACAGAGTCTCACTCTGTTGCCCAAGCTGGAGAAAAGATCTCGGCTTACTGCAGCCTCCACCTCCTGGGTTCAAGTGATTCTCCTGCCTCAGCCTCCTGAGTAGCTGGGATTACAGGCACGCACCACCATGCTCAGCTAATTTTTTGTATTTTTTATTAGAGACAGGGTTTCGCCATGTTGGCCAGGCTGGTCTCGAACTCCTGACCTCAGGTGATCCACCCACCTTGGCCTCCCGAAGTGCTGGGATTATAGGCGTGAGCCACCACGCTTGGCCAAAAGTGCCCACTTTCTGCTCCAAATTTGAAGTGGTACTCTTAAGGCAGGGAAGCCTGTACTTCTTCCCCTAAGCTAGTTTTGGAATAAAAAATCACCTTCTTTGTACCAGAGCTTGTTCTTGTTCACTGGACTCTGCAAGGGGCAAGCGACTGAACCTGTGTTTTGGTTACACAGGGAAACCTCGGCACCTTCAACACATTAAAAATACTGAATATACTGTCTCTCCTACTTCTGGGTCCACATCAAATTTACTTTCACATTTTGTTTAATTTGGGGAGGAAAGAGAAAAGGAAAGTAACCTTGGTGAGATCTTTTCTTATTGATCTATTTATTTATTCGTTCATTTACTCAATGAATCCACTATGTGCCACATGATTTGCTAGTAGTGAGCAGCAAGATGACAAATGATAAAAATACCATCTATCCATGCCCTTGTCAAGTTTGATGTCCAGCCAGAAGCCATCAGCATTTGGAAAAGTTTTTCTGTTATCACAGATGCTAGCCTCCCCCAGACCACATTGTGAGAAAGGTGAAATTTGACCTGGATGCAATTTCACTCTTTTCCTTCCTCTCTGTATCAACCTTCCTCTGCTACCTCACTGGGCCCGGAACCCTGTGGGATCTACTGGTGGTCTCTGTTTCTATAAGGACACGACTGACCTCCCAGCTCCCTTCTCTGAATCCCAACTCCTCATGGTCATGGGTCAGAGGGTAACTGTCCTTCCAATTCTATTGCCCTAAGGGATCACCACTGACTTGGTCTGAAATAATATCCTCCCTGACCATCCACTGTGAGAGGTGCCCTCTCAGCCAAGGTAGCAACTGATTATGTTTATAGAGATCAAAGGATTTAGTCGTAAGAATAGTATTTGATTTAGACATTGTTTTTGTAGCATTTCAAAAATGTGGAAATGGAAGCTGGGAGGGGTTGAATGGCCTGCCCAGGTCCACACAATTCATAAAGGGCTGAGGCAGGCATCAGATCCATATGTCTGACTTCACGTTCCCATCTTCTCCATCATAATACCCTGGATCATTGAGATGCTCATGTGAGTAGGCTCTTGCACCTGGAGAAAACTAGTCAAACTCCATGTATTGTTAAGTTTCTACATTTATATTTGTGTAGGGCTTCTTAGAGCCTGAACTCAACATCAGTGGTAGGCTTTTCAAGCCCTCAAATCACCCTAAGTGATGGTTACACACTCTGCTGGTTTTTAGACAATTGATTCCAATATGACTTCTTCCATAAGGGTAGTGGAGATGCAGAATGTGCAGGAGACTCAGGGTCCAGGAGCGGGAGTCAGGGTAATAGATGAAAGGACCCAATCAGGTTTGATCTCAAGACCTGCTATAAAATTAGCTATAAAATTACTAATAACATGGTGAAAGAATATGCTGAGCTGAGACAAGAAAGTCATTGAAAAAGGAATTGGCCTTGAACTTGGAGGAAGGCAGGAGAGAGATCTGATAGCCCTGAATGACAAAGAGCTGGTCCCTTGAGGGTCTTTCTCAGAGGGGAAGACCGTGGGCTGGATGAGTACTTCTGTTGAAGAGAAAATTTGTTCAGAAAAAGCACACTGGTTATATGACATGGAGTGAACTTCAATGACTAAGAAGAAGCAATGTGGGAGAGAAGATTTTTTGGGGGGAAAATGTAGTGAGTCTCCAGCCCTATGGCCAGTCTCTAGGTGTCTGGGGATAATCCCCTGGTGAAATTCACAAAACTGCAGCTGTCTGGACCTTGACACCAGAATTTTTGATTCAACAGGTCTGTAGGAGACCCAAGCATCTGAGTTTTCAGAAGGTTCAAGGTGATTCTGACACCCTCCAAGGCTGAAGAACTTGATCCAGCTTGTACTTCAGAGCTGGCCTTGGCTTGCTCTGTCAGCCCCTGTCCAAAAGTCAGCTTCTTCCCTGGCATCAGCTGAGGCCATCCCCTTTGAGTTGACTTTGACAGCCTTTGACTTCCCGAATAACAGAGAGCACTGGAAGAATTCTGAATATTTTTTATTTTTATTTCAGTAGGTTTTTGAGGAACAGATGGTGTTTGGTTACATGGATAGATTATTTAGTGGTGATTTCCGCAACTTCGGTGCACCCATCACCTGAGCAGTGTACACTGTACCCAATGGGTAGTCTTTTATCCCTCACCCCCCTCCCACCCTTCCCCCACCAAGTCCCCAAAGTCCATTGTATCATTCTTATGTCTTTGCATCCTCATAGCCTAGCTCCCACTTATAAGTAAGAACATATGATAGTTGATTTTCCATTCCTGAGTTACTTCACTTAGAATAATGGTCTCCAGTTCCATCCAGGTTGCTGCAAATGCCATTATTTCATTCCTTTTTATGGTTGAGTAGTATTCTATGGTGTGTATATATATATATATATCGATATATATACATACACATTTTCTTTATTCACTTGTTGATTGATGGGCACTTGGGCTGGTTCCATATTTTTGCAATTGTGAATTGTGCTGCTATAAACATGCATGTTCAAGTGTTTTTTCATATAATGACTTCTTTTCCTCTGGGTAAACCCAGTAGTAGGATTGCTGGATCAAATGGTGGACCTACTTTTAGTTCTTTAAGGAATCTGCACACTGTTTTCCACAGTGGTTGTACCAGTTTACATTCCCATCAGCAGGGTAAAAATGTTCCCTTTTCACCACATTCATGCCAACATCTATTATTTTTTATTTTTAAATTGTGGCCATTCTTGAAGGAGTAAGGTGGTATCACACTGTGGTTTTGATTTACATTTCCCTGATAATTATTGATGTTGAACCTTTTTTCATGTGTTTGTCGGCCATTTGTATATCTTCTTTTGAGAATTGTCCATTCATGTACTTAGCCCATTTTGATGGGATTTTTTTTTTCTTGCCGGTTTGTTTGAATTTCTTGTAGATTCTGGATATTCGTTCTTTGTTGGATACATAGTTTGCAAAGATTTTCTTCCACTCTGTGGGTTGTCTATTTAATCTGCTGGTTATTTCTTTTGCTGTGCAGACTCTTTTTAGTTTAATTAAGTCCCACCTATTTATCTTTGTTTTTGTTGCATTTCCTTTGGGGTTCTTGGTCATGAAATCTTTGCCTAAGCCAAAGTCTAGAACGGGTTTTCTGATGTTATCTTCTAGAATATTTTTGGTTTCAGTTCTTAGATTTGAGTCTTTGATCCATCTTGAGTTGATTTTTGTGTAAGGTGAGAGACGAGGATCTCACCTTATTCTCCTATATGTGGCTTGCCAATTATCCCAGCACCATTTGTTGAACAGGATGTCCTTTCCCCACTTTACATTTTTGTTCGCTTTGTGAAAGATCAGCTACTTGTAAGTATTTGGCTTTATTTCTGGGTTCTCTGTTCTGTTTCATTGGTCTATGTGCCTATTTTAATGCCAGTACCATGCTGTTTTGGTGACTAAAGTCTTGTAGTATAGTTTGAAGTCAGGTAATGTGATGCCTCCAGATTTGTTCTTTTTGCTTAGTCTTGTTTGGGCTATATGGACTCTTTTTTTGGTTTCACATGAATTTTAGGATTTTTTTTTCTAGTTCTGTGAAGAACAATGATGGTATTTTGATGAGAGTTGCACTGAACTTGTAGATTGCTTTTGGCAATAAGGTCATTTGCACCATATTGATTTTACCCATCCATGAGTGTGAGATGTGTTTCCATTTGTTTGTGTCATTTATGATTTCCTTCAGTAGTATTTTGTAGTTTTCCTCATAGAGGTCTTTTACCTCTTTGCTTAGGGATATTCCTAAATATTTTATTTTATTTTTTTGCAGCTATTGTAAAAGGAGTTGAGTTCTTAATTTGATTCTCAGCTTAGTCACTGTTGATGTATAGCAGTACTACTGATTTATGTACATTAGTTTTGTATCCTGAAACTTTAATGAATGCATTTGTCAGTTCTAGGAGCTATTTGGCTGAGTCGTTAGGGTTTCCTAGGTATACAATCATATCAGCGAACAGCGACAGTTTGATTTTCTCTTTACCAGTTTGGATACCCTTTATTTCTTTCTCTTGTCTGATTGCTCTGGCTAGGACTTCCAGGATTATGTTGAATAGACGTAGTGGAAGTGAGCATCCTTGTCTTGTTCCAGTTCTCAGGGAGAATCCTTTCAACTTTGTCCCATTTAGTATAATGTTGGCTGTGGGTTTGTCATAGATGGCTTTTTTGGTTAGCTAGTATTTTGTTGAGGATTTTTGCGTCTATGTTCATCAGGAATATTGGTCCGTAGTTTTCTTTTTTGTTGTGTGCTTTCCTGGTTTTGGTATTAGGGTGATACTGGCTTCATAGAATGATTTAGGGAGGATTCCCTCTTTCTCTATCTTTTGGAACAGTGTCAACAGGATTGGTATCAATTCTTCTTTGCATGTCTAATAGAATTCAGTGGTGAATCCACGTGGTCCTGGGCTTTTTTTTGTTGGCAGTTTTTTTTTTTTAATTACCATTTCAATCTCACTGCTTGTTATTGGTCTGTTAAGAGTTTCTGTTTCTTCGTGGTTTAATCTAGGAGAGTTATATATTTCCAGGATTTATCCATCTCCTTTAGATTTTTTAGTTTGTGTGCATAAAGGTATTCATAGTGGCCTTGAATGATCTTTTGTATTTCTGTGTTATCCGTTGTAATATCTCCCATTTCATTTCTAATGGAGCTTATTTGGATCTTCTCTCTTCTTTTCTTGGTTAATCTTACTGTTGGTCTGCCAATTTTGTTTAACTTTTCAAAGAACCAGCTTTTTGTTTCATTTATCTTTTGAATTTTTTTGTTTCAATTTCATGTAGTTATGCACCGATCTTTATTATTTTTTTTCTTCTGCTGGGTTTGGGTTTGGCTTATTCTTGTTTCTCTAGTTCCTTCAGGTGTGAGCTTAGATTGTCTATTGTGTTCTTTCAGACTTTTGGATGTAGGCATTTAATGCTATGAGCTTTCCTCTTAGCACTGCTTTTGCTGTATCCCAGAGGTTTTGATAGATTGTGTCACTGTTATTGCTCAGTTCAAAGAGTTTTTAAATTTCCTTCTTGATTTCATTGTTGACTCAATGATCATTCAGGAACAGCTTGTTTAATTTTCTTGTATTTGGATTGTTTTGAGGGTTTTCCTTTTGGAGTTGATTTCCAATTTTATTCCACGGTGGTCTGAGAGAGTACTTGAAATAATTTCGATTTTCTTAAATTTATTGAGACTTGTTTTGTGGCTTATCATATGGTCTATATTGGAGAATATTCCATGTGCTGATGAATACAATTGAATAATTATTAATTGTCCACTTAGCATCTCATAGAGCTGAGAAAGACGTTCCCAAAGCCAACAAAGCAAGTAGCAGCGAGGGGCTCAGAACAGGGCCTTCCTTTTCTTTTTCTTTTTCTTTTTTTTTTTTTAAGACAGGGTCTCATTGTGTCACCCAGGCCGGAGTGCACTAGAACAACCATGGCTCACTGCAGCCTCAACCCCTTGGACCCAAATGATTCTCCCACCTTAGCCTCCCAAGTAGCTGAGACTTCCGGTGTGTGCCACCAAGACTGGCTAATTTTTGCATTTTTTGTAGAGGTGAGGTATCCCTGTGTTGCTTAACCTGGTCTCAAACTCCTAGGCTCAAGTGATCTCCCACCTCAGCCTCTCAAAGTGCTGGAATTGCAGAAGTGAGCCACCGGACCCGGTGGGCCTTCCTTTTCAAGGCTGCCTCTGCCCACGCTCTCCTGCTGTCTCCACTCTTCACTCTGTCTCACTCAGATCCTTTTCTGGCTCTGAATCTCTCTTCCTTCTTTCTGCATTCCCCTTTCCACATTAACCTCCCACAATATGAATCTGATGTACATTAGAAATTATTTGCAGGATTTAACAAGCAAAAGTTTGCATGTCTTGTTCAGTCAAATATTCAATGAGCTTTTCCAGCTCTGTCAAATCCTCCTCACAATCAAATTAATTCCAGGTGGCCTTGCCTATAGGTCAAGACCCTCCAAGAGCAGCAGTCTCCTCACCGTTGAGTGAACCAAGGACAATGAGGTTATGGGTCTTGGTGGATGTTCTGCTTGACTCCCACTAAGCTGGTTTTATTTCTGGTACCTCAGTTTACCTACCTGTAAAACATAGACTCCCTTCAACAGGATGCAGCTAGTGCATGCCTAGCAGAGTGCCCAGCACATGAAAGGACACAAAAAAATAACAAAATACCTATTTTTCATGGGAGTAATAATACTTGCTAAGGGACACTGGGAGATTGATTCAGAGAACTCAACGTCATTTCCAAGGAAGAAAACTAGTCACAAAAGATAGCTTTGTGCTCTTGCCCATTCTGCCGAACTCCAGGACGTGCTTTCTTGGCTGAGGGCCATCCTTGGGAAGGGAGATGTGCTGAGATGTGCTCGTAGGATCAGACTTTATGGTTGCCAGGCACCTCCTCGTTCATTTCTGCTCTTGTCGCTGTGTGTGTGTAGCATCAGGGAGGGGAGGCAGGAACTAGGACCCCTTGATGGTCCCTCAGCCTCTTACCCCTCCAATGGCCAGCAGCAGGGAATGAGGATATGCTCACAGTGGACGATTATGCAAATAAGTACAATATTTTTATGGGTTCTTAGTAACATGGGAAATGTTTACGGTATGAATTTACATTTTAAACGCACACTCCCAAATTGCATATTATGCAGCATGAACTCCTTGGGCTGCGGTGGCCCTGGTGTAAGCCTATGAATTACCCAGTGCTGATCACCTGTGTCCTAGAGGGTCTGGTGACCTCGGGCAGAGGAGCACCCTGGGAGGTAACTCCCTGAAGGAAGAGAGCTGTGGTGGCCAGTGACTGGGGCCTGGAGGGAGGAGTGTCATCTTTCACTTGGAAGAGCTGGGTAGGAATGGTCCAAGAGCTAGTGCATCTCCAACTGAAAGCAGGAAAGAGTGCAGGAGGCAGTCCCGGCTCCAGAGCCCCTGTTCAAGAGGAAGGACCAGGGCACCTAACGGAGCTGGCACAGCCGTTGGCAATAGTGTCACCCTACAGAAGTGGCTTCTGTGCTGTAGTAACCATGTCTTTTGTTTTCTGATGCTTTAACAAATGGGGCCTTGCTTACCCTAGAGGGACTTGCCCCTGAGTGCACCTTTCACATGCAAACCAACCAATTCAAAGCCCACTCCCTACCCCCTCCTCTATCTGGGCTATCATACTCAGGGCTACCACCCACCTGCCCTCATCCAACACCTAGGGCCAGGTACCAGACAACTAGGGACAGCCTCTATGACCTGGCACATACTGAAATGATTCAAGCCAGCCAATCCTAAGTCTGCCTGCCCAGCTTCTCTGGTACTTCCCGCAGAAAGCTGCTAAATGCTCTTGCCCTTGTTTTCCTGTGCTCCCTCTGCCTCCTGACCAATGCTGGTGCCTGCCGTGTGGACCCGGGTGTCATGGCATGCTCCCTCCTCTTGGAACTGTGAGCAATAAACTCTCAGTTCAATGGCAGCTGTCTCCTCATCTGCCTTACTACACCTCAAATTTTCTACTAATATATTTTAGAACATGTGTCCAGAGGATGTAATTGATGCCCTGACAAGGCTGCTATAGGAACAGGAGCGTCCAGCTCAGGTCACGAGGGGCAGGGAAGCTAGGAAAGTGGAAGATGAACCAGGACAGGCTGCGGTAACATCTGAACTCCAGCACATGAGAAACCCACCCTGGAGAGCCCCAGAAAACAAGGACAGGCCACTTCCCAGAAGGCTCAGGCCCAACATGAGCAAGAGGAAAGTCAGTGGAATGGGTGCCAGGCTACGTATAAAACACAGGAGAAGTTGGCAGGGCACATGTGAGATGTGGTGTGTGGTGTGCTAGGGGGATCTGATGATGGGGGAAGGGGTTTTTTTGGGGGGGAGGGGGGCCTGTCTGTAGAGGGAAGATGAAATGAAACCATGGAATAGTGTGCCTGGCCAGGACCCACTCTTCTGATCCTGGCCATAACGAGAAGTCGAAACAGGAGCCTCCACAGCCAGAGGCAGGACTCAGCTCCCATTCGTCACTTGCTGATCAGCTTCACACCCGGGACTCCCAGCTGGAGAGACTTTCACTCTGTAAAGTCAGTGAGAAATCTCGTGTTGCTGAAGCAGATGTCCAGCCAGCTCCAGGAGGTACGGTGGGGCAGCTGTGTCAAATTAGCTGGGGAGGGCTCACACAGCTGTAAGACGGTGGCCGACGCAGGGCGTGGAAGGAAGAGGGGTTGCTGCACTTTCCCAAGCTCCCAGCTGGGGGAACGGGAACCAGGGTGGGTCCCAGGCTGGCTGTCCTCAGCCCCAGGCTGGGAGCTGCTGTGGAAAGATCCCTGCTTAGGCATCAGGAGACCAACAACCTTGCATGGTGACACCTGCCAGCTGACAACCTTGAGCACGCCATTTCCCTAGGTAGGCTGTGCTCCACTCCTCTGTGAAATGGGCTGGTTGTGGCTTGGTAACATTTTCCGACTCTGACTTGCGTGAAGTTTCTTTCCCCCATACTTCCCCTGACTCCAGCAGGGAGTGAGCTCAGAGCCCTTCGCCATTAGGGTAGCCCCTGTGAGGAAGGAAGAAGAGATGGGCTTAAAGTCTTCCCAACCCTACTTCCCAAAAGCCTAAGCCCCAGAAAGGGAGAGGATTTGTGGATGTAAACAAGACATCTCTACTAGAAACAGGGAGAGAGAGGCGGGCTTTTCTCACACACCAGAAAGATGTTCTCCATGAGGAAGATGAAAGAGGAAAGCAAGCAGCAACAGAAAGAGAAAAATCTCTATGAGGGGCCCTGTGGGCAGGATGAAGGAGGGCTTCACCGTGACACATGCAGACCACGAGGCTCCTGCCTGGTCCGATGACCCACAGCTGTGAACAGCCCTGCGAACAGGGACGTCCAAGTGGGAAGAGGGTGACTCAAGTAGAATTAAGTTAAAAATTTTATGATCTGGTGAAGTAAGCCTGAGGCAGCTTTCTGTACCCATTGAACACTAACTCCCCATTCTGCCTCCTCTTAACCCCCTTTCAACTTTCTATCTGCATTTGACTCCTCCAGGTACCTCATATAAATGGAATCATATAGTCTTTGTCCTTTGTGACTGGCTCATTTCAATTAGCATAATGTTCTCAAAGTTCATCTATGTTGTGGCATGTGTTAGAATTTCTTTCCTTTTGGAGGCTGAATAATGTTCCATCGTATGCATCCACCATAATTTTTGTTTATCTATTGATCTGTTGATGGACTTGGGTTGCTTTCACCTTTTGACTATTATAAACGAGGCTGCTATGAACATGAATGTACAAATATCTCTTCCAGTCCCTGCTTTCAATTCTTTTGGGCATATACCTAGGAGAAGAATTGTGAACTGTGTGATAATTCTATGTTCAAATTTTTGAGGAGCCACCAAACTGTTTTGAACAGGGGTTACATTTAACAGGGTTTTACATTCCCACTAAGATTCCAATTTCTCCACATCCTCACCAACACTTGTCACTTGTTATTTTGTGTGGTTTTTTTTTTTTTTGAATGTCATCCTAAAAAGTGTGACGTGGTATCTCATTGTGGTTTTGATATGCATTTCCCTAATGATTAGTGATGTTCAGCACCTTTTTATGTTCTTGCTGGACATCTGTATATATTCTTCAGAGAAATGTCTACTCCAGTCTTTTGCCCATTTTAAAAATAATGAGTTAATTTTTTTTTTAAAGAGGTGGGGTCTTTTTATGTTGTCCTTGCTGGACTTGAACTCCTGGGCTCAAGTGATCCTCCCACCTCATCCTCCTGAGTAGCTGGGACCACAGTTTGTCTTGTTCACCCATTTTTCAATCCAGTTGTTTGGTTTTTGTTGTTGAAATACAGGAGTTAATATATTCTGGATATTAATTCCTTTTTTTTTTTTTTTTTTTTTGAGATGGAGTCTTGCTCTGTCTCCCAGGCTGGAGTGCAGTGGCATGATCATGGCTCACTGCAACCTCCATCTCCTGGTTTAAGCGATTCTCCTGCCTCAGCCTCCCGAGTAGCTGGGATTACAGGCATGTGCCACCATGCCTGGGTAATTTTTGTATTTTTAGTGGAGATGGGGTTTCACCATGTTGGCCAGACTGGCCCCGAACTCCTGACCTCAGGTGATCTGCCTGCCTCGGCTTCCCAAAGTGTTGGGATTACAAGCGTGAGCTACTTCATCCAGCCTCCGGATATTAATTCTTTATCGATACAAGATTTACAAATATTTTATCCCATTCTGTGGTTTGCCTTTTTACTCTCCTGACAGTACCCTTTGAGGCAAAAAAGGTTTTTTGTTGTTGTTGTTTGTTTGTTTGTTTTTGTAGAGATGAGGTCTCACAATGTTGCCGAGGCTGGTCTCCAACTCCTGGGCTCAAGCAGTCCACCTGTCTTGGCCTCCCAAAGTGCTGGGATTACAGGCGTGCACAAAAGTTTTTAATTTTGATGAAATTCTATTTATCTATTTTCTCTTTTTGTTGCCTGTACTTTTCAGAAATCATTGCCAAATCCAAGCCATAAAGCTTTTCCCTGATGTTTCCTAAGAGTTTTATAGTCTTAGCTCTTACCTTTAGGTCTTTGATCAAGTTTGAGTTAATTTTTGTAAATGGTGTAAGGTAAGGGTTCAACTTGATTCTTTTACATGTGGATATCCAATTTTTCCAACACCATTTGTTGAAAACACTGTCCTTTTCCCAGCGAATGCTCTGCAAACCCTTGTTGAAAGTCAATCAACCAAATATGCAAGGATTTATTTCTGGGCTCTATATTCTGTTCCATTAACATATTTATGTATCCTTATGCCAGTGCTGCATTGTTTTGCTTTTGTGGTAGCTTTGTAGTATACTTTGAAATCAGGAAATGTGAGAGTTCAAATTTTCTTTCTTTTTCTCGATAGTTTTGGCTATGTGGGGCCCCTTGAGATTTTATATGAACTTTAGGATGAGTTTTTCCATTTTCGCAAAAATCACTATTAGGATTTTGATAGGAATTGCAACGAATGGAGATTGCTTTGGTTAGTATTGTCATCTTAATAATGTCAAGACTTATCATCTATGAACAAAGGATGTTTTTCCATTTATTTAGTCTTCTTTAATTTCTTGTAGCAATGTTCTGTTATTTTCTGTGTACAAGTCTTTTGCTTCCTTGGTTAAATTTATTCCTGACTATTTTATATTTTTTGATGTTATTGTAAATGCAATCATTTTCTTTTTTGAATTGCTCTTTGTTAGTGTATAGAAATGTTACCAAGTTTTGCATGCTGATTTTGTATCCTAAACTTTGCTGTATTTGCTTGTTATTAATAGCTGTAACAGGTTTTGTGTGTGTATGATCTTCTGCATATAAAATCATGTCAACTGTGAACAGAAGTGGTTTTATTACTGCTTTCCTTTCTTCCTTCTTTTTCTTGCCTAATTGCTTCAGTTAGAACTTCCAGTACTGTGTTGAACATACGGCCAAAAATGGGAACCCGTGTTTTGTTCCTGATCTTAGGCTAAAAGCTTTCAGTCTTTCACCATAGATTATGATACTGGTGGTGCACTTTCATATATGGACTCTACTATGTTGGGAAAATTTCTTCCTACTCCTTATTTTTTGGGCATTTTAAAAAAATCATAAATGGGTATTGAATTTTGTCAAATGGTTTTTCTTCATCAATTCAGATGACCATGTGGGGTTTTTTTTCTCTTCATGCTATTAATGTGGCATATTACATTGATTTAGTGTCATATGTTGAACAATTCTTACATTCCAAGAATAAACCCCATTGGTCATAGCGTATTTTTTTTAATATGTTGCCAAATTTGGTTTGCTAGTACTTTGTTAGGCACTTTTGTGTCAATATTCATAAGGAATATTGGTCTGTAGTTTTCTTGTAATTTTGTTTTCTGGCTTTGGTATCAAAAGTAATGCTGGCTTTATTGAATGTTAGGAAGTGTTTTCTCTTCAACTTTTGGGAAGAATTTGAGAAGCATTGGTATTAATTCTTCTTTAAAAATGAGTAGAATTCACCAGTAAAGCCATCTGCTTCTAGGTTTTTCTTTTTTTTGTTTGTTTCATTTTCAAAATGCATCACTTTATTTTCCTTATAAGGCAGCCGCACATTAAGCATGTGACAGTCACGTGATTTCTTCAGTGAGCCCCAAGGCTTCCACGAGCTTTCCTGGAGCCTATGGCCAGAAGAGTCCTGAGATTTCAAATATTAAAGGTTTCTCGACAGCCACAAGTTCCTTTGATGTTTGGGTTATTGAACAAAAACTCACTGGATAATTTGTCTTCAACATAGTCCATTTCTGTTCCTAAAAGTGTTAGCTGGGCTTTCTTTTCGATGAATACTCTGACTCCATCTTGAATAACTTCTTCATCAGAATCTCCTTTTGTCTTTGTATATTCTACAGTATAAGAAAGGCCATTACAGCCCCTGATTCAGACACCAGCGTTTACACCTACATGCTCAGGCTTATCTTTAAGAAGTTGTTTTATCTTGTTTACTGCTGAGGGTGTCAGGGTGAAGGCAGCCCCGTTGGGCTGCAGTTTCCTCTTTCTAGTTTTTTTAGTTTTCCTAGTTTTTCTAGTTTTTTAGTTTTTTTAGTTGCCCAGACTAAGGAAGCTGACATCTTCGCCGTCCTGGAGCCCTGGTGCCTCGGAGCCCGGCCGCCTCAGCCTGTCCCCATGGACACGGTGGGCGCATTCCTGGGCTTTTCTTTCTTGGAGGTTTTTGATAAGCGATTCAATCTCCTTCCTAGTTATACATCTGATCAGATTTTCTATGTCTCCCTGAGTCAATTGTGATAGATTTTATGTTTTATAGGAATTTTTAAATTTACTACTTTATCCAGTTTGTTGGTGTATAATTATTCATCGTATTCTCTTTTAATCATTTTTATTTCTGTAAAATTGATGGTAATGTCCCCACTTTTATTTCTGACTTTAGTTATTCGAATCTTCTCTCTTTTTTCCTTAGATAATGTAGCTAAAGTTTTCTCAATGTTGTTTTTTTTGAATAATCAACATTTAATTTTGTTAATTTTCTCTATTTTTCTACTCTCTTTTTAAAAAATTTCTGCTCTAATCTTTATTATTTATTAATTATGTTCCTTTTGACAGCTTTGGTTTTAGTTTATTCTTCTTTTCATAGTTTCCTAAGGCATAAAGTTAGTTTGTGAATTTGAGATTTTTCTTCTTTTTTAATGTAAGCATTGAAATCTACACGTTTTTTCCTAGCATCACTTTTACCGAATCCCATAAGGGATTTTTAATTATAATTTTTTAAATTTTAGATTCAGGGGATACGTGTGCAGGTTTGTTACAGGATATTTGTGTGGTGCTGAGGTTTGGGCTTCTATTGATCCTGTTATCCAGATAATAAACACAGCATCCAATAGGAAGCTTTTCAGCCCTTGCCGCCTCTCTCCTCCTCTCCTTTTGGAGTCCCTAGTGTTTGTTTTTTCCATCTTTATGTCCACGTGTACTCAAGGTTTATTTTCCACCTAAGTGAGAACATGAGACATTTGGTTTTCTGTTTCCGCATTAATTCACTTAGGATAATGGCCTCCAGCTGCATCCATGTTGCTGCAAAGGATATGATTTTATTATTTTTAATGGCTGCATAGTACTCCATAGTGTACATATGCTGCATTTTCTTTATCAAATCCATGATTGATGGGCACCTAGGTTGATTCTGTCTTTGCTATTGTGAATAGTGCTGTGATGAATGTATGAGTGCGGGGGTCTTTTTGGTAGAATGACCTATTTTCCTTTGGGTATATACCCAGTAATAGGATTGCTGTGTCAAATGGTAGTTATATTTTTAGTTATTTGGGAAATCTCCAAACTGCTTCCTACAGTGGCTGAACTAATTTGCATTCCTACCAACAGTGTATTTGCAGTCCCTTTTCTCTGCAGCTTCACCAACATCTGTCATTTTTTGAAGTTTTAATAATAGCCATTCTGACTGATGTGAGATGGTGTCTCATTGCGGTTTTGATTTGCATTTCTCTGATGACTAGTAATGTTGAGTATTTTTTCATATGTTTGTTGGTCACTCATACGTCTTCTTTTGAAAAGTGTCTGTTCGTGTCATTTGCCCTCTTTTTAATAGGGTTATTTGTATTTTGCTTGTTGATATGTTTAAGTTCCTTACAGATTCTGGATATGAGTCCGTTGTCAGATGCATTGTTTGCAAATATTTTCTTCCATTCTATAGGTTGTCTGTTTACTTTGTTGATGGTTTCTTTTGCTGTGCAGACTCTTTAGTTTAATGAGATCTCACTTGTCAATTTTTGTTTTTGTTGAAATTGCTTTTGAGGACTTAGTCATAAACTCTTTGCCTAGGACAATGTCCAGAAGTGTATTTCCTAGGTTTTCTTCCAGGATTTATATAGTTCAAGGTCTTACATTTAAGTCTTTAATCCATATTGAGTTGTTTTTTGTGTATGGTGATAAATAGGTGTTCAATTTAATTCTTCTGCATATGGTTAGCCAGTTCTCCCAACACCATTTATTTAACAGCGACTTTTCCCCATTGCTTACTTTGGTTGATTTTTTTTAAGATCAGTTGTTTGTAGTTGTGTAGCTTTATTTCTGTGTTCTCTATTCTGTTCTGTTGGTCTATGTGTCTATTTTTGTGCCAGTACCATGCTGGTTTGGTTACTGTAAACATATATACTTTGAAGTTATGCATCCCGTAAGTTTTGATATGTTGTATTTCATTATCATTTATCTCATTTCTTTCATTACTACCTTCTTTTGTATTTAGTTGATTTTTTGTAGTGATACATTTTTATTCCCTTCCCATTTACTTTTGTGTATATTCTATAGATATTTTCTTTGTGGTTACCATATGTGGTTACCATATATAACCTCCTAAAGTTATAACAATTAGATTTAATTACCACCAACTTAACTTCAATCACACACAAAAACTACTCCTACATAGCTTCATCCTCCCCTTCATGTCATTAATGTCACAAATCATACATGACATCTTTAAACATTGTGTGCTCAATAACATAGATTTATAATTATTTTATCCCTTCTTTTTTTAATCCCAGTAGAAAATAAGTTCAAAATTTTAGAAATACTGGCTTTATACTTGCCCATGTATTTACATTTACAGAGATCTTTATTTCTTCATATGGCTTTGAGTTACTGTATAGTTTTCTTTAATTACAACTTCAAGGGCTCCCTTTAGCATTTCCCATAGGATAGGTAATGAACTCCCCCAGTTTTTGTTTATCTGGGAATGTCTTAATTTCTCATTTTTGGAAGACAATTTTTATGCATATAAAATTCTCATTTGACAGGTCACTTTCCTTTCAACACTTTACGCTATCTGTTCATTGCTTCCTGAGATCCAAAGTTTCTAATGATAATTCTGCTGATAATCTTACGGAGCATTCTTTGTATGTTATGACTTGCTTCTCTCTTGCTACTTTCAATATTCTTTCTTTGTCTTTTGGCAGTTGATTATAATGTGTCTTTGTATGGTTCTCTTTGAGTTTATCCTACTTAGAGTTCATCAAGTTTCATGAATTTGTGCATTCATGTCTGGCATCAAATTTGGGGAGTTTTTAGCCATTATTTTTTTCAATTTTCTTTCTTTCCCTTCCTTTCTCTCTTCTCCTTCTGGAACTTCCCTAATTTGTGTTTGTCCCACAAGTCTCTTAGATTCCCACGAGTCTCTTAATGGTGTCCCACAAATCTCTTAGGCTCTGTTCACTTTTCTTCATTCTTTTTTCTTTCCATTCTTCAGACAAGATAATTTCAATTGTCTTGTCTTCAAGTTCATATATCTTTCTTGTGCCTGTTGAAATTGAATCTGCTGTTAAATACATGTAGTGAAATTTTCATTTCAGTTATTGTACTTACAGTTCCAAAATTTGTTTGGTATTTCTTAAAATTTTGGTCTCTGGTAATATTGACATTTTGCTCATCTATCATTTTTCTGATTTCCTTTAGTGGTTTGCCTGTGTTTTCCTTTAGTTATTTGAGCATCTTTAAAACAGCTGTTTTAAGGTTTTTGTGTAGTAAGTCTGATGTCTGGGTTTCCACAGGGTTGGTTTCTGTCAATATCTTTTTTTTTTTCATTTTTTACTTGCGTGAACCATGTTTTCCTGTTTCTTTGTATACCTTGTGTTTTTTGTAAACATTGAACATCTCACTGTTACAATGTGGTAACTCTGAAAATCAGAATCTTTTCCTTCCCCAGAGGTCACTGTTTTTTGTTTGTTTGTTTGTGTTTTTTTTTTTGTAAAAATTGTTGAAGCCTGTGGCATCAATGTCTGAGAGTTTTTCAGACTGTTTTCCCAAGACTATTCCTTGTCACATGTAATCACTGAAGTCTGTATTCCTTTAGTTTGTGTTCAGCTAATGCTTTGACAGAGATTTCCTTCAATCCTAAGGGCTCTTGCAGTCTTTTCAGATAGCCTCTGTACTAGAGCACTCTTTCAAGACTAGCGAGGCTTATTCAGACCCTAGGGATCAGCTTCAGGTAAAGCCTAAGGCTTTCTTCAGACTTTGTGAGCCTGTGTCTTGCCTGGGCATGCACATGGCTTTCTAAATTCTCTCGTAACAGCTGCTTTTGAGTGTCCTAATTTCCCAAAGAGTCTTACTCCAGCTTCTCATCTGGGCCTTAGATGGTCTACTCTATGGCTCCACTCAAAATCTCTTGCCCAGGCCATGAGCCTATAGTGATCTTGCAGCTTTTATTAACAGTGTCCACTTATTTTTCCAGCTGTGTTCTGAGTTAGGTAACACAGATTAGTGAGTCAGTCCTTCACTTATCTCCCAGACAGTTTAAAAGACATGTATATAATAATTCGCAAGTAATATCTGCTCTGATTCTTCCAGTTTACAAGGAGGAAATTGGAACAAGGCTGGCTGCTGTGTTTCAAGACAAAGACTGCTGCCACACCGGGGAGAGGATGGGGCCAGGGTGAGTTAAAACACAAAACTTCCCTGCCATTTTGAAGATGACTTTTTCTTGATTGGGCCTTCACTTGATTGCTGTAAACCTTTAACTGTTTTCCAGTGCTGTGACAAAATTGGTTCAGAAAGTTTCTAGGTTTTAAAAAATTCTTCTGTGGGGAAATGCAAATTAGGAGCTTCCTAGTCTATCATTTTGCTGGTATTCCAGCACCAACAAAGTCTTTAATCATGTGTATTAACACATAGATATTGTCATATCTATTTCGTCTGAATGCCTCCTCAGATCTTTGTAACTGAGAATAACGAAGAGAACGTTATTCTCAGATACAAAGGAGAACGAAGTAGAAAATGTATGATTTATGAGGAGAAACATCACAAATGTATGATTTGTGAGGAGAACGAAGTAGAGAATAAACACATAAACCCTTGGACAGGCTGCTGTGTATCCTGGGACCATCTGCAAGGACACTCTACTGCAGGTGCCTGATCAGACTTCAAACTGATATTTTTGTTGAGAAGTTGAAAGAGGGAGATTGTAAACGGGCCCAAAGTCCTTCTGGAGAAAAACTACTGTGAGGGTATGTCTCTCCTTTCCTTGGAAACTTTACTCAAAACCATTTAAAATTCTTCACAGCTACTTTACCAATCTGGTGGAAACTTCGACTTTAGTGTTATTATTTTTTTACCCATTTGTGGTGTAACACACATGTATGTATGTTACGAAGTGGGCAGAGGGGGGATGACTAATTATTTTTCCTTGTCCAAAAGGGCAGAGAAATTCCCCTCTCACTCTGTTACTCCCCCACATTGATCAATCCCCTCTTTACCTCCCACTTTAAAAAACTCAGCACCTGGCCTCATTATTCCCTCTAAGGAGCTCACAGTTTGGTGAACTCCTTCCAACACCCTCACAATCTCTTGTGGGGCAGGTCTTTCTACCCACCCTTCCTCTCCTGCTGGTTTTAGATCTAAAGGGCTTTACATTTAGGATCAGCCTTCTAGTTAGTTGAGGAACTGGAGAGAGAACAGAGCTTGGTGGCTTCCAGTTGGCTCCAGTGCCACCTGAGTCCAAGTCAATTAAATTCCCACCATGACCAAGGATGGTGCCCAGAACTTTCCTTTTGAAATGTGTAATGCAGAGAACCCTGAGAAAGTTGCAATGAAGGAGGAAAAGTCAATCAGATGGGCTCCACCTTTCCTGTCATTCCTCTTTTCAGTGCCCCATCTGCTGCCAAGTAGCAATTTGGGAGCTTTTGAAAATGAGTTTTAAATGGAAGAACTAATGGAAGAAAAAGTAGACAAGGAGAAGGGGTAAAGGAAAGAGGATACCCTTTCTAACAGGTAGCTACTCTTTCCTCTTCACCTGACCTTGTGAGACAGTGAGACCAAGGAGTTTCTGGGGTCACACTTGGGCATTGTGGCCTGAAAATCAGACAGACATGGAGTGGGTGTGTGAACCATTAAAACAAGTGAGAAAAAAAACTAAGCTGGCAGAGGACAGCTCCCAGTGCTGTGGGAACACACTTCCCAGATGAGGACTGGTCGCAATGACTACTCGCAGGACCTCAGTTTGTATCTTTCAGTCCCAGTCCCCCAGGGGAATCAGAGGAGGGAAGGAAACCTCCCTAAGATGTCTGTCTGGTCAAGGCTGCAAGGCCTTCCGGTTTGCAGTTATGAAACAAAGGCATTTAAAATGTTCTCTCCTCACTTTCTCTGAGAGCCAGGATCTCTTTCCTGGGACTATGGGAAAGAGGAGCTGCTCCAAGCCCAGAGGATGTGCACGATTACCAGATGGCAATGACAACTGGGAGATTTTTATTTGACTTGGTCCCACTTTCCCATTTCACAGGTGGGAGAGCAGGCTCAGAGAGTGAAGTGGTTTTTCCAATTTTGTAGAGTAAACGTCTGTTGAGATGAAGGCCAGACTGCTGATAGCAGGCCAGCCATGTATGCTGTCTGATTAGTGCATCTATCTTCCCCTCTACTCCTGTATCTTCCCATACACTAGCTCCAGTCAAATGAATTAGCTATGAGGTCAACAAACCCATGCTTTGCCTTCCTGCAGAGTGAACAAGGTAGGGGCACATCTCCATCAGAAAACAGGGCAAAACCTCCTGGTTTAATCAGGCTGACTTTGGTGCACAATCTCAAGTAAAGGGTGGAGTTGTTTCCTTTTCTTTGGTAGCTGATGTTGTCTTTGCAAAGAAATAAACCAAAAAAACCACAGGCAGAACTCCTGCTAGTATGTCAGTGCTTGCTTGACCGACCAACCGATTCATACACTGGTCTGGTTTGGCTATTTACATGTGTAAGGTCTTTCCCCACAGGATTGGTATACAGACAAGTGGGTTTGCAAATCCTAGCTCCTCCGTGTGTGATGGAAGGATTTGGAAATCCCAGTTGGGGTGTTCTGCTGTGAAAAATTTATCAAGGTAGGACTATGTCTAAACATTTAACTCTGAAAAAGGGGCCAGCAAACAGAAATACCATATGTGAATTTCCTGTTTGTTCCTTAGCTCAAGATTATTGGTGGTTTCATCCTTACTCCACAGTACACCCCTCCCATCACTTTTTCATGGTCATTTAAGTACAGAATTAGTCAAAACTGATTTAAAAATTATGACTCAGAGCACGGCGCCAGCTACCTGGGTGTGGGACAGGGTCCTGCACTTGGTTTAATGCTTGGATGTTGCTGTCTTGAAATTCTTAGTCGTTTTTGGACAAGTGCCTATATTTTCATCTACCACTGGGCTTTGCAAGTTATGAAGCTGGTCCTGTTGGCATATATGACTTCCAATTTCAGCTCAAACTTGTGTTGTGACTTTGGCCAAACTTTACTCTTTTTGAGACTCTGTTTCCTCATCTATACTCGCCACAAGGGCAGTGGCTGCAGTAGTTATTTACTACTAAATTCTCAGCCCTTACCATGTGCCTGACACAGGTAAGTGCTCAATAAATACTTGTAGAGTAAATGAATTAATGTCAAAGAAAACCTGCTGCTTAAAATTTGAGAAAGGATGCTGAATTACAGAAGTACATTTCTTAAGAGCTATAAAGAAAAACATATTGAATGGCCATTATGAAATAATGATGATGGCAATATCACTGATCATCTATTTCCTGATGGCTACTCTGGTAATTTACTAAACAGTGGATATGGAGAAAAGAAAACAGCCTTCAGTAGATACAGCCGGGACTGATGCCAGACATCTCATTGAATCTTATAAATTCTTCATCTTTACATAAGCGTGCATGGAAAAAGACTTCTCAAGCCATAAAGAAAGCTACAAAGAAAGCTCTGGATATTGCGTTTCAGGCCAAGGTCTAGTTCAAATGCAGTCTGGGAAAAGTCCCATTTGGAAAAGCTGTCTGCTTGCATAATTTTATTCCCCATTAGTACTTTGGTATCACTCAAAACACAGGCAGAACTAAAAGCTGGGCCTGGAAAGTAAGAGGACTTCTCATAAGGATGCCTCCAGGCAAAAGTGTGGGTTTGGACTGGATAAAAACTAAACATCAGCTCCAGCAAATCTGGGAGGCATTTGGTAAATGGCTGAATTGGACCCTGCCTCAAGACTTCTTGATTATTTTTTCTGCTCCCTTTCCTGCCCCAGGGTGTGTCTCAGAGACGGAATTCAGGGTGAGCTTTTCTCCTGAGCTGCTGGGGGATGTGGGCACAACCCCACCTGAGATGTGAGCATGGAGCTCTGGTTAAAGCATCCAAGCTTTTGAGATTCAGGGCTACAGTTAGAAGGGGAGGTCAGAGATCACAGTAGCTACTGGTTATTTCTCACTTACCAGGTGTCATAAGTTCTTCATGTATATCATGTTTAATCCTCAAGACCCCTAAAGGAGCTATTATTACACCTGTTTTAAAGGTGTGGAAAATGAGGCTCAGATAGGTTAAGTAAGTTGACTTAGTTGATGCATTTATTAGTGGTAGATCCAGGATTTGAACACAAATTGCTCAGGGTCTAAAGTAAGTGCTCATTCTCATCTACGACTTGTCTCTTTGATTTTGGGATTGGCTATGGCTTGCCAATGGAATGTGGGTGGGCATGATGCGGGCACTGGCTCTAAAAGTGCTTGCCATGAGAGCATGAGTAACCACTGCCCTTCAGGCTCAGCCCCAGCTGGGAGATGTGAACAGACTGGAGCTAGCTGTGAAGCTAGAGAATCTCTGAGCTGTGGGGTCGTTTGTTACACAACACCATTGCAGCAATAGCTGATTAACACAGCTTGTTTTTTCACTGGGAAAAGACAATCAAGATGATATACGTTTCAATTCAATAAATGTTTATTGATTACTCTATGCCAAGTACTGGGCTTGGTTCTAGGGAACACAATAATCAATGGATCAGACACATGCTTCCTTAGTCTCGTTTGCTGATTTATCCTTCCCTACCTGACTTTCAAATGTTATTGTGAAGGTTCCATTCTAGACCCTCATATGTCTCTATATTCTTCCCAAATAATCCCATCCATCTATGTCCATGCCTTCAATTCCAACCATATCTGTAGCTCTCTCTTTCTTTCTGAGCTCTAGATTGGCATAGCTAATCCAATTTTAACTGTCTGCTTTCCTTTGCCACTGGGCATCTACAGCCCCTTTCAAGCTCAACAATTCCCAGACTAAACTCATGCTCTTCCTCCCCCTAATTTGGGTCATCTCCTGTCGGTAACCACAGAGGAAGTCCTGTCCCCATTATCTGCTGTCAGGGTAACTCATACTTGTCCTTGGTAGGGCTTGCCAAGGTTAATTAATTAAATGCAATAGCTTAGATAGTTAATTGCTTGTCCTTCTCGTGAGAATGTAAACTCCTCCAGAGCATCCACAGATCTGTATGTGATTGCGGACCCTCACCTATGGAATAAGGTCCAAACTCTCACAGCTTTCAAAGCTCACTGAGATCTGGTCTCAACTTAACATCAAGCCTCCATTTCTCTGCTCAGGCAACTAACAACCTTCACCTACTATTGCTCTTTCCCTGGATAGGGAGACACGCACTTGTAGGAGGAAAATGACCTGTCACTGAAAATGCACCAAGAAGCTGGTGTACTTGGCCTCACCTGCTGGCTCTGAGGAGCTGCCCATTCTGAGTCCCTTCTTTAGGGACGGAGTACTGTGGTGCTCCTCTTTACCACACTGTCTCCCATTATCCCCAGCCCTTTCTCCTCTAGCCTGTCCCTCCCACTTTCCAAACTATCACTGTGCAACAAAGAAAGAGAAAAAGGAAATGAGGCAATTGAAATGGAATTGAATCCTGGAAATCTGCAATTGCAGAAGGAAAGGTGGGGCTTGTGCTCCAACCCCCTCATGTCAGAGTTCATGGCAATCTCCTGGGGCTGGTTTTCTACCTTTTATCCTTTTAAAATTTTAATGTACTGCAGATTCTAACCTTCTTATCCATTCCTGGAAATCCCCCCATTTTACTTCTTTTCCCAATGGGCCCATTTAAATCTTGGCTTTGCCATTAGCAATGTTTGAATCTGAACAGCTTTAAGGTAAAGTGATCCCTGAAATGGTTCAAGTTAACATTTTCTTTTGTTTCAAAATTTCTTGCTTATTTTTTCCGGTTAAGACCCCAGTCCAAACCCCACATTTCAGATAGCACATCTGAGCTGCAGCCTCAGAATAGTGAGCTCATGTGCTGTGTTTGTCTTGGCTCAGCCCGCCTGACCTAGGCAGGGACTTGGTGTGTATGTAGGGGAGTGGGGGAGTAGGGGGCTGGGTGGGGGTGGTAATGGCAATAGATTAGAGCCATAACGACAGCCCCGTCCTAGCCCAGGCCGGCCAGCCTCTGGGGGCTCCAGGACCTCCTTCAGGGAAGCCCAGCAACGCCTTGTTGGTCCCTTTTTGGCCCTGACTTGCACCTCTGTGGTCTTTGATATCGGCTTATGTTCTTTTTTCTTTTTTAGAGACAAGGTCTCATTGTCACCCAGGGTGGAGTGCAGTGGCACAATCATAGCTCACTGTGGCCTTGAACTCCTGAACCCAACAAACCCTCCCACTTCAGCCTCCGAAGTAGCTAGGACTACAGACCCACACCACCATGCCTGGATAATTATTATTTTTTGTAGAGACAGGGTCTCACTGTGTTACCCAGGCTGGTCTTGAACTCCTGGCCTCAAGTGATCCTTCTGCCTCAGCCCCCCAAAGCACTGGGATTACAGGCATGGACCTCTGCACACGGGCCTGGCTTATGTTCCTCTTCTGCTCAACCAGGACAATGGTGGTAGGTGGTTAGAGACAGTCTGAGCAGATGGGGAGGCAGATGAAGAATCTGATGCATCCCCGGAGGTCTTTCTGCCCATTCTGGTAGGCAGATGTCGTGGCCGTCCCCAGGGTCCAGCCCAGGCCTTAGCTCATAGCCCATTTAGTGCCTGCCAAGTACAGGTCTCCCAGATGTATAATAGAACCTGACTATCGCTAGCTAGCTGTCCTTTTCTGTGGAATCTGCCTTCCCACCCCAGTTAGAGTCTTCCCTGACATCCATAGACCTATCTACAGCCCTCTGCTGCTGTTGCTAAGGAACCCCCAGGGCCCCATGAAGGCCCTTCTTGACCCTTCCCACTAAAACCTCTGCCAGCTCCACAGTAGCAGGGGCCTCATTAGCCAATCTGAGAGTGAAGTGGCTTCGTTGTCTGGGGAAATACCCGAGGTTCGTTGTCTCGAGCCGACAAGATTAACGACATGGACACACACGCACGGAGTAGGTTTAAGGGGCGGAAACTTTAATAGACACAGAAAGAAGAGAGAGAGAGAGAGCTTCCTCAGGCAGAGGAAGGGGGTGCCCAAGAGGGTTTCTAAGTTTGGGGTGGGATGCAGTTGATTATATAGAGGGGCTTGAGGAGGCGGTGTTTGATTTACGTAGGTCCCAGGGGATTGGTTTGGCCAGGTATGTCATTTACACAGCCTTCGAAGAAACTGGCCCTCCCACCCTAATCTTTTATTATGCAAATGTGGCCTCAACCTGGTGGTGCCATGACACCTGCACAGGTGACAACAAGGAGAGGGAGGGGAAGTCACCATGTTGGAATGTACTTGGCTTCCAGGTACAGCTGCTGGCACTTACACATGTGACCTTCCAGCTTGCTTATCTATGCTTGCAGCTTGGCTTTTGGGCTGCTTTCTGTTAGAAAAGAAATGGTTTGGGGGCTGCTTTTTATTAAAAGGAAATTCCACTGAGAACTCTTTTACCCACACTAACTGCCTAAAACAATTTCTTAATAACTTCTATATCATTCATGCTGGTTCTATAGACTCAAGGTCTCAGGGCACAGAGAATTTGGGACCCCATGGTGCCCCAGCCTCTAGATGCCAGGTCCTGAGGGCAGTTAGGGATAACTGCATTTAGGCTGGGAACGTAATGCCATTCCTACTGCAGTTTGAAATTTGTGGGCTGGCATGGAAAGCCATTGCATGGGGCCTCTCACACAGCACTCAATAAACTCTAACAAACCTCATGATAACCTGTTTCTACATGTGGGACCATTTGTATCTTTCAAAGATCTTCCATGGAACTCTCTGGAAATACTAAAATAGAGATCTTTGTAAGGGCCACTGCACTTTAGTCTGGGCAACATAGCAAGATCCCATCTCAAATAATAATAATAATAATAATAATAGTAGAGGTCTTAGAATCTGAGAGTGGAATTCCAACCCTGGCTCTGTCATGGCACAGTGTGACTATATCACACACAGCTGCTCTGGGTCCTGCTTTTAAGATGTGTACAATGAGTGGCTTGCCTAGCGTTGCTGGTTTTCTAATAAACCCTGACCACACAGAGGTGCCTGGGGAGGAGGAAGGGAGGGAGAGCTCTGTGCTGTCCTTCCAGCTCCTACAGAAGAATCTGTCTTAGTCAGGCCTCCCCATAAGATTTCATTTGAAAGAAAGTTTTGCACTTAGAAAGTAAAGCTCAAAAGCCACAGGACTAGGAGAGAACCAAGACCTTCCCAGCTCTAACATTCTGGAACTGAGCGCCAGAGCCTGGCATGTGACAAGCTGGCATTGCATTCCCCTCAAAGATGTCACTTAGGAAAAAGCTGACTCACTCATAGGAGTTAAATGGATTCTTCTAAGGGAAGACAAGACCAGTAGCTAACTCATTACTGAGCAGGCTCAATAACACTGATTGTCAAAGGAGCACGTCTACTGGTCGCAAAGTGCCATATGGCTGATTGCGTCTAATAAAATGAGCTCATGTTGAATTGACAATCTGTATATGTCTCTGTTGTCCCCAAAAAGACAGCTGAAAATGATTGAGGGCTGCAAGTATTTGGTGACTGCACCATGGATACAGTAATTTAACTCAGCTGTCACTAAGCTTGTGCCAGATTTGGCCTAGCAGACATTTTTGTGTTGATGGGGCGTGTTTCTTGGTGTGTCTCACTACAGGTGATGGGGTCAGTCCCAGCTGAGGGGTCCACATGGACTCCCCAGCAGGGGCAGTGTATGGCTGTGAGAGCTGCTCACACATCTCTAAGTCCTCATCCATTCCTTCTGTTCCCACGCCCTGCCCATCTCCTCCCACCAGATACAGTGCCAGGTGGGGAAGGCAAGTGAGGACGGTGGGGAGGGGGGTGCAGTGGCAAAGGCCCCCCAACACAGTCTGCTTTGTGACTTGTGGCTGGAGGACTCCACCTAGCACCTTCCTTCTGAGCTGAGCTCCAGCCTGGGCCCCAGTTGCCCCGAGTCCTGGTTAGAGTTCAGAGCTGCAGCTCAGGGTGGTAGCTGCAAGCCCCATGCGGCTACTGAGCACTCTAAATGTGGCAATTCCAAACTGACACTGAATTTCAAGCCCTTGGTACTAGAAAAAGAGACTATAAAAATCTTACAAATTTTATACGATTACATGTTGGAATGATAATGATTTTTATATACAAAGTATATTGCTAAAGTTAATTTCACCTGTTTCTTTTTATTATTATTACTTCTTAGTTAGCCACTAGAAAATGTAAGATGACGTGTGTGGCTCACATTATAATTCTGTTGGGCGCCACTGATCTAGAAAGAATTCGATTTGTAAAGGGGCCCAGATGGACCATTTCAGGGGATTCGGCAAGTGTTTGCCGAGCACCTTCTGTGTGCAGCTCATCTGCCGCACAGATGGCTGTCTGAGCTGCTGGGGGAGGTGGGAGGTGGGGTCGGAGCAGGGAGCTGCCCCATTGGAGGAGCGTGGGGAGCAGTGCCCATCCCTGAGCTGAACCACGGACATCTTCCTCAGGAAGCACTTTGAGTATCTGGGCCCAGCACAGCCCGGAACCCTCCCAGTACCTCTAAGGTTACAAGTAATTGTCTAAGGCCTACGTTATTCCTGCACACCCAAACACAGCCCTCAGCATCTCATGGGAAAAGAGAGCCTTATCTCCAAGATGCACTTTGAAGTTTAAAAATAAAAGTGGGGGTGACCAGTGCAGTGCTGGTTGGCCTCAGCCCATGATGGGGGCTTGGGAGAGTTTTCTTCTCTTTCTTCTCTTCCTCCCTCCCCTTCCTCCCTTCCATTCTCCTCTCCTTCCTTCCTTTCATCCTTTCCTTCATTCCTTCCTTCCTCCCTCCCCTTCCTTCCTTCCATCCTCCTCTCCTCTCCTCTCCTCTCCTCTCCTCTCCTCTCCTCTCCTCCCCTCCCCTCCCCTCCCCTCCCCTCCCCTCCCCTCCCCTCTCCTCTCCTTCCCTGCCTCCCTCCCTTTGATGCTTAAGACTCAGCACAGGAAGAGAGAGCTCCTAGGAACATGAAAGCTGAAGATAAACCCCAAAGCCTCCTTTGTCTTCCCTTAATCTGCTTTAAGCTCCCACCAGCTCAAGCCTAATTGAGTTAGTTCTTGAGTGAAAGGGAGCTTTGGTGATGTTAAACTGTTATTTAATCACAAGTGGCAGGTGGGATGTGGGGCAAAGGGCAGGAAAAGTGGGTCTGTGGGAACGTAGAGCTGAGCAAAGCCTTCCTTCCTCCCCTCGCATCAGGGAAGGCCCGCGATGCCCTTTCATTAGTATTTCAGCCAGTGTTTTCCAAATTGCTGACCATAAACCGTTAGGGGATTGGGAAATCAGTTTCGTGGATTTCAACGAGCATTGTTGAAATGTGGGGGGTGGTGCGGCCTGGGAAGAGTAGAACAGAAAGTAACAGAAGGCTTTGCAGGTAGTGAAAGGAAGTATTGCTTCCTGAAACTTTTGACTTAGATGTGAGTCAGCTGTGTGTGCATGTGCACTTAATTGCAACAGAAAATGCACTTTTTGCTGTGGGTCATGAGCAAAAAAGTTTGAAAGCTTCTCTCTGATGCTCCTAGAAATAGAGTCCCTTCTGTGCGTGGGTCAGGAGAAATGATAAGCAACAGAGGATGGGGAACAGGAATCCTTGGCTGTGTGATAGAAAAGGCTGTGGGGAGGTGCGAGGTGGGAGGTGGGAGAAGCAGCAGGGTCTGAGTGCCCGGGCCTGGGCAGCCTGTTAAACTTCATGGCCCCATGGTCTGTTTGCTTCTGCACCTGCAGCAGGGAGCAGAGGCCAGGCCCCAGGGGGCACGTGGCTCCACATTCTGAAAATCAAATTAGTGGACAAGGGAATGGAAGGCCTCTTTGAGGGGCTCTGTGCCACATGTATTCACCTGGGATCGGGGAAGGAAGGATGACAATGGAGAGAGTGTTCTGGGAGGAAATTCAGTTCTCACCTGAGTAGACTGTCTGTGGGGGGCTTTGCAGATGCTCAGCGTTGCAGAAGATGACGTTTCTATTTCCACTGTTAAAGAACCCGTCTTGGCCAGGCGCAGTGGCTCACACCTATAATCCCAGCACTTTGGGAGGCCGAGGTGGGTGGATCACGAGATCAGGAGTTTGAGACCAGCCTGGCCAATGTGGTGAAACCCTGTCTCTACTAAAAATACAAAAAATTAGCAGGGTGTGGTGGCACACGCCTGTAATCCCAGCTACTCGGGAGGCTGAGGAAGGAGAATCACTTGAATCCAGGAGGCGGAGGTTGCAGTGAGCTGAGATCGTGCCATTGCACTCCAGCCTGGGCGACAGAGCAAGACTCCATCTCGAGAAGAAGAAGAAGAAAAAAGGAACCCCTCTTATTCTTTCGCCATTCGTATTTTATGTGTATAACAGTCAATATTATGATGAGCACTGGGATTCATACTAACTCATTCTATTGCTAAAACAATTTTTTCACTGAGCTTTTTCTTTTGGTGCCTCTTAAATAATCTCACTATTAAGCCAAAAAAATCAGAAAGTGAGCTATTTGGGAAAAAACAAGCACAAAGATGAACTCAACCCTGGTTGAAATATAGCCCTGGGGAAGGGAACTACTTGATCTCCCAAAGCACAAAGATCGGCGACTTTGTAGCACTTTGAGTGTCTGGGCCTGGCAGGCAGCTCTGAATGTTCCTGTTGCCTCTAAGGTTACAAATGATTGTCTAAGGCCTATGTTACACCTTCATACCCATGTACGACACTCAGCCTCTCATGAGAAAAGAAAGCTTTATCTCTAAGATGAACTTTGAGGTTTAAAAATAAAAGCAGGGCTGCCGTTTCCCAGGGCCACTGTTGAGACTGCGCAGAATGGGCTATTTCTTTACAAATAAACAAGCGTCTTACAGGCTGACCAGCTAACTGGCATTTCAGGTGGCTGAAACTTTTCCTTTGAGGCCTACCCAGGTGAAGGGACATTTACTTGGGTTTAACATGTTTGCATCTGAGGAGAAATTTTTAAAAGCATTTTTCTTATGGAGAAAGGGAAACATTTTGCTATTTATTTATTTATTTATATTTTAGAGATGGAGTCTCACTTCGTCACCCAGGCTGGAGAGCAGTGGCGTGATCATAGCTCACCGCAGCCTCGACCTGGGCTCAAGGAATTGTCCCAGGAAACTGTTCTTTTCAAATGGCGGGGAGACAGAAAATGCTGATGATCCACAGTGCTGCTCAAGTTTAGAATGCAACAAAGAAACAGCCAGTTGTTGTGAAATTATTCGCCAATCATTACACACAATGACAGGAAATTATTTATAGAAAAAATCCCAACATAATTTCTTTCCCCAGCATCCCAGGGGACAAACCAGGGAAGGTAGTGCAGGAACAAGCCCAGCAGTGAGCTGTCACCTGTGGCACTGCTCAGCCACCTGCTGTGTCTTCAGTAGCTTCCCCTTCAGGCATGGGGCTTTCTTCCTGCCTGTACCTTAGTGTATCCCAGCAGGATGAAAGCACTTCTGAGACAGATGTTTCTGGGTCCTAGTGTTTCTCTTTGCCCTGCCCTGGGTTTAGTATGCACACATCCACACTGGCGGTTGCTCCTAGCCCCCAGGGCCTATGTCCTGCGACCCTTCTTGGCCTTTACTTCTCATGGCATGAAGGAGGGAAAGGCCCAAAGAAGCGAAGGCCCTGCATGAGCTAGGTGGCTGGGGAGGGGTTGAGCAGGCTCATAATTAGGAAGATGACAGACAAGGATGCTGGCATCCTTCACACTGATGTGCTGTGTAAAGTCCGGCTCGCAGTGTGACCCTGTCACCCCCAGAGGACCAGGACCATTGAGCGGCACCTTCTGACTGGCACAGCTCCTTTGAGGCTCTCAGAGGCGCAGGTTTTCCTCCAGGCCTGGTGGCTCTTCCTGGAGGGGATGGTGCTGCCATCCTCTCTAGCAGTCCAGGGTCTGCACCGTGGGCTTGGTGGGGCCCAGTGTCCTCGGGTCACAGCTCTCAGCAGAATTCTGCTTCTCTGCTGCCTGTGGTAGCTCCTCCACCAGGACCCAGCCAGTGCCAGGAGGGTGGAGTGGGTCCCGGAGGCAGGAACGGGGTAGCAGATCCCTGGAGAGCTGAGCCTGAAGGGACCATGGGCCAGCTTGGGAAGTAAAAAGAACAGTAGAGAGGCTGGAGCCCAGGTGTGGGTCTCAACTGTGGGTCTCAGGACAAGCGAGGGGGTATGTCCCCAGAGGGATGGGAAAGTGGGCCCAAGGCTGAGTGAAAGCACATTGCCAGGAAGAGCCAGGGGACGGAGAGGGAGCCAGAGAAGCAGAGGATTCATCTGCTGTCCTGGGAACCTGTGAGTCACTGCTGCTGAGTCATCAGAGCTGCCTAGAAGCTGCTTGGTTGAACCCAGGAGCAGAATGGGAAGGACCAGAAAGGAAGTTCTTCTCCTTCTCCGGGACCCTGGAAAAGGATCATGGGCGTGGCTGGGCCAGGCAGCACCATGAGGGCATCAGCCTCAGGTGGAGCAGGTCCTGGTCAAAGAGCTCCGTGGTCCAGGCCAAGCTGCTAGAGCAGAGCCCGAGGCCCCTGGCAGTGCGGTGTGGGGACCGTCAGCACGCACTGGCTTACGTTCTAGACTCTACGTTCACTTTAGAGGTGAGGCAATGGAGACCTGGAGACTTGCCCGGGGCCATAGAGAGTCAGAGGCGCTGGTCCTCCAGAGCCCATGCTCCCTAATCACTGCCCAGGGTCTGCAGTGATCAGATCCTGGAGACACAGTGACGAGACCTTATCATGCTTGTATTGTTAAGGGCCCAAACTGAGCTAAATGGCCAATTGAAAGACGGATAGATAAATTCCAAGGATGCTCTCCTTATGGCAATGCCATTTGATTTGCTGGTGTATTTATATATTTGGGGGATTTTTAAACCTCTGAATAAGTATATAAATTTTTTACCATGCTCATGTGAGGAGTCCCCAGGCCTGGGAAATAGGGAAGGACTGCGCAATTTGCTGTTTCTTTAAGGAGTGGAGCATCTGCCACCATTCTGTGTCTGGCTGCTCTCCCAGAACCTGGTGCACTGACAAGGCCAGGCTGTGGCTCAGGTCCACATCCCAGGAACTGCCCTGCCCTGGGTGCGTTGATGGCGATGTTGGACGTGAAGGTGTCTGTGGGCTTAGTGTGCACACTCTCCCCTTTAGAGAAGTGGATGCTGGGAGTTTTATGTTGTCCCATGCTCCATCTGGCAGGACCCAGTCACCTGGATGCTGGTGTGGCCTGGGCCGACCGAGTATCTGTATCAGCTGCCGTCTTAGTGCTCTAAAATTTGCCAGTTCCCTTCCTGGGCTGATGGCCTGCAGGCTGTGCTGGCTGTCTCCATGGGAGCAAGGCTGTGGACTGCTGTGTGTCCCAGAGAGGAAGTGGACTACTGAGTTATGTGCGTACGACAGCCTGTGGTTTCTCTGTAGGCTGCAGCAGACCCAGCAGATGAGCCAAGGAGACCCTCCTTGCCTCTGCTCCACGCCGTTCACCATCCTCTGATTCTGTCCACCTCATAAATGAGAAATCCGAGGCTCCCTGAGGGTCAATGCATTGATCAAGGTTCAACTGCTTGGAAGTGGCATATCCCCAACTCAAAGTTAAGCTTTTTTATGCAAAAGCTGGTGCTACACTGTTGTACCTAGTGCCTGTTATATCTTGTGAGTAATTTTGCTTTGGCAGGACAGACCAGCAGTCTAGAAATCGTTTCTTAGTGATGCTAAAGGGCACCATGGTGGAGTCTTTTCCTTCATGACTAGAGTGATGTGCCTGCCCCAGGGAGCTCCTGACCTCTCCCTGGACTAATCAATGATGTTTGCAATGAATTATCCCACCCGAGATTTCCTTCTCCAAAAGAGGGGTTTTGCAGGGGCTCTGCTGTTTGGATAAGGCGGTGAGTCAAGGTAAGATTAGAAGCCTCTTGATCTGCAGAGAATAGTGCATTGTGGGTTCTGGCTGCACCCTACAGGGTTGGGACCCAGGCACTTCCTTTTCTGTATTGCTTGTTTGCAAGGAAAGGGCTCCTATGTCATCCATAGTGACCAAGCGGGTGATGACAAGTGTTCTTGCTCCCATCATGGGTATCTCTGGCCTGGACAGCCAGGAAGAAAATAGTGATTAACTTTGCGCCAGCTTTCCTTTCTCTGGTTGATTTGGCAAAAATGCTCTGACTTTCCCTTTTGTTCTGTTTGAGGAAAATTTTAGCAGGAGGAAAGATTTTGTCAGGCTGAATTGATCCAGTTGTGTTTCCAGGGCATCCAAGCCTCTCCCTGCGGCCCTGGCCCGCCTCCTCCCCATGCACCAGGCTCTGGCTCCCGGGTACTCCTCCTGCCATGGGGCCCACGCAGCAGCTACAATGCATGCTTTGTTCAGGGAGCCCTGGGGAGGCAGCTGGCTACAAAAAAGTTCATCCACTAACTGGGCTTGTCCTTGACATCTGGCTTCTCTCCTAGGACCTCATTTTCCCCAACTTAAGTGGGATTTTGAATTAATGAAATTATAGCCCTTTGAACTGACTTGAGAATTCTCTCCCAGGCTCAAATTACATCTCCACTCAGTGTGTCTAGATGGCTCCAACACTTTCACAGATCATCCCCTCCCAACCCCTAGGAGATCATCTACATTGCTGTTTTCCAGTTGTAGAAGAATGTGATTCAATAGAACCTACTGCCTGAGACAGTGATAGCATGTGTGCATTTATTGAGAGCACTATACTAGGCATTTTATACTAATTTTCTCTAAAATTCACAACCCATAAGGTAAATAATGATACAATATCCCAATTTTTCTGACAAGGAGACCAAAGCTTTTGTCTACAGTTACTCAGCTAGAGGGTGGCAGAAGCTAGATTTGAACCCATATCCCTCTAATGCTAAAGCCTGTGAGACTCCACGGTGTCCCTCTAAGTCACAAGTTGTCTGTGAGTGTATATTTACAAACACATGTGGACAAAAATTTTGATAGTAGCATCCACAAACGTCACATTGAGATGTGAAACAGGCCTCTAATAAATCAGATCGGGATATCTTCTTTGCTTCTCACCTGGCATGATGCTGGGTTTGTGGCAAGATACAAATATGTATAAAGTTGGCCTCCTGTTGCCTCAACACGAGATGCCTTTACATCCTAAAATTGCTATTACTTAAGTTAAAATACATCACACAGTCTACTTCAGCCTGCTTCAGGTCAACTTGTGGTTGTCACAGGGGCCAGCCTCAGAGGTAGACAGAGTTTAGACTTTTCAGTCTTACCCCCAGTGTCCTTCTTCTCTCACTGGGAATTTCCCTTTGATATTCCCACCAAATACCCTTGCCCTGGATGGAGTCATATTCTCTGAAGTATCTTCCATTCAAGGGTCCTAAGAGTCAAGGTCATTCCTGATGGAAACACACGCCTAGGAAAAGAAAATCAACCCTCAATGTGATCTAGGTCCTTTAGATCTAATTTCCACTTTTTAAAAAAATCCAAGGGTCAGAGGGACATGTTAAATGACACCATAAGAACATAGCAGCAAGTCCAGACTGGGGGAAACTGCAGGACAAATGACCTGGTTTCTTCTCCAATAAGAATTTGTAAAGAAAAAAAGGCCAAGTGTAGGTGCCCATGCCTGTAATCCTAGCACTTTGGGAAGCTGAGGTGGCGGGATCGCTCGAGCTCAGGAGTTCAGCCTGGGCCACATAATGAGACCTCATCTCTACTAAAAATTAAAAAAAAATTCACTGGGCATAGTGGCACCCACCTGTAGTCCTGGCTGTTTGGGAGCCTGAGGTGGGAAGATTGCTTGAGCCCAGGAGGTTGAGGCTGCAGTGAGCCGTGATTGTGCCACTGCACTCCAGCCTGGGGGACAGAATGAAACTGTATTGAAGAAGAAGAACAAGAACAAGAAGAAGAAGAAGAAGAGGAAGAGGAAGAGGAAGAGGAGGAAGAGGAGGAGGAGGAGGAAGAGGAAGAGGAAGAAAGAAGAAGAAGAAGGAGGATTTATAGAATATGTAGATAGAAAGAAACTTCAGAGACAAATCAACCAATCTCAGTATATGAATCTCTTATTAAATCCAGAGTCAAACAAATGAAGTACAAATTACAAGACAATTGGGAAAATGCAAACACTGGCTGGGTATATTATGAGACTAAGGACTAACATTAATTTCTTAAAAAGTAAGAATGATGTTATCATAATCATATATTTTTAAAAACAGCCCTTATCAATTGAAATACTTAGATATGCAATGATATGATATTTGTTCATACTAGTATTTGTTATACCATAGTCAGGGTAGGCAGCAGTTAATTGCTGGGTGTATAGACAAAATACTGTCTGCCATGTGTTGATAATTATTAAAACCAGGTAATGGATATGTTGGATTATTAAATATTGTCTGTAATTTTATATATATTTGAAATTTTCCATAATAATGAGTTAAAAAAAAAAACAAAAGAAAATAAGGGCATACCCCTTTATGCTCCGTCCCCAGTGGGTGGCCCAAGTGGAGGGTGGAGAACTTCGACTCTGGATTCAACCAGACTAGTTGGGCTCGCTGTGCCCACCACTGCCCAACTGGGAGCTCCACTGGATGGAACCCTGGCCTGATGTAACCATGGCTCACTGAGGACCAATCAGAAGGAGAAAGAGCTAGCTAGCACATTTAGAGGACAATCAGGAGAGTAATGGAAAGGAATTACCAGCACAATGGCAATCTATGAAAAGCACTTTGTAAATTGGGAATTAATAAATTCTTTTTAGTTACAATTCATGTATTCTTAGAACTAGGGATATAGCAATGTTCACAAATCCTCTTCCAGAGGAATTTAGAAAAAATAATTAGAGGATGGTGCAGAAACACAAGGATACAAATGATGTGGAAATGCCAGAGAGAGATCATGGCTGATGGGTAGGAAACTGAGGAATGACCTCAAGCATGCCTGGACTACCCCTGGTCCCAGGCTGGTGGGTTCAGGATGCACAGGGTGGGGCTGTCCTCCTTCCCGCCTGGCTAGCCTGCCTGGCAAGGCTAGCTCTTCACGGAACCGGCTCAAGAATAGAGATTGCACAAGTGTTTCAGCAAAGTGCTGCCACCTGGCAAGACTAGAATGCCAAGAAAACTAGAAGAGCCAGCAGGAGCAGAGAACTCCTGTCAAAGTGAAAGTGGGGGAGTGCCTTAGTCTGAGGGTTCAGCTCTCAGACAGTCAGTGTGTGCTGGGTGGATAGTGTGAGAGCGGGCCATGTCGCCCTTTCCTTTTGCTGCCTCCGGCCCTTGTCTCGAGAGCTACCTCTCTGGTCCTCAGATATCCCAAGAAGGCAGGACGGGGAAGGGGTCAGGTCCCCAGTGGTGGAGCTGGGAGGGGAACACTTATTTGTCCATTCAGGCAGGCTGGTGAAGGACTTAGGACTGCCCTGGTCATGCTGGGCTGATGTCATGCACTCAGGGACCAGGTTTGCATCCTAGCCTGCTTCCTATTTGTTTCTGTCCTTGGACAGGTTATTCATTTACCTCATCAGTAAAATAGGGATCCTCCTTCTGCACTGCTATCATAATTGAGATTATTGCCACGTGTTTCCAGGTAGGGGTTTGAGAGGGAGAATGAGCAAGAGGTGGTGAGGTGCGGGGACAAAACATGGGCTCCAGGGACAGACAGAGAGGAGAGATAAATCCCTGTTCCTCTTCTTGCCAGCACTTGGATAAGATTTTTAGAAATTTACATTTTCCCGTTGCTCAAAATTGTTGTTATCTTCTTTTACATTTTCTAGACAAACAAGTAAAAGTTTCTTCCATAATCCAGCTTCTCTCCCCCATCAATGTTGTAAAGAAAACCAGTAGTACTTAAGAGAGTGGATGGCAGGCATGGTGTGATTATGTGTGAGAGCTCTTGGGAAGCACTCAGTGTATTGGAACTTTCTTTCAAAGAAAGGAAGTGAGAGAAACAAACAAGTTAAGGGGACTGCTATGGTCTGAATGTTTGTCCCCCCCTCACCCCAACATTCATATTTTGAAATTTTAACCTCCAATGTGATGATATTTGGAGTTGGGGCCTTTGGGAGGTGATTAGCCCATGAGGGTGGGGCCCTCATGAGTTGGATGAGTGGCCTTATAAAAGAGATCCCAGAGAGCTCCCTCATCCCTTCCACCATGTGAGGACACAGAAAGAAGGTGCCGTCTGTGGACCAGAAAATGAGCCCTCACCAGACACGGAATCTTTGGCACCTTCTTCATGGAGTTCCAGCCTCCACAGCAGTGAGGAAGGAGTTTCTGTGTCTTGGAAGATGCCCAGCCCAAGGCATTTTGTTATAGCAGCTGGAATGGACTAAGACAGTGACCATTCTCCCTTTGCAACCACAGCAACACAGGGTTTTGAAAGCAGTCAATAAATGAGTCATATTAAATCACAGAAAATAATTCTCATATGGAAAAGTCATCTCTTTGTCTCCTTTTGCCTGCTGGGAAAGGCTGTCTCCTCTGAGCCTCCTTCTAGTGATCATGCACAGGTGTCGGTTAGAGATTCACTCTCAGTCTGTGGCTTTATTCACATCTGCTGCATCAGAGCTCAGCATTTGGGAGCCAGAGCCCACTGGGACAAGGGACAGCCACCATCTGGGAGGCAGAGCTGGGAGCCAGAAGGCACCCTTTTCTCCAGGACAGGACCACCACAGGCCTGGCTGTCTCTGTGATGGGCCCCCATCTCTGTCCTCTGAAGCCTTACCAGAAAAGTTATCGGCTGCAGGGAGATGGAGATATGAAGCCACTTTGAGGTCCTCAAAAAAAAGTTGCTCTAACACGACCAAACTCAGTATCTTTCAGAAGGCGGCCAGTTAGTGCTGTGGATGGGAGCCCTAAATGGTGACCTGGAATTGCAGCCTCACTGAGAGGCTTCCCCAGGGATCTGAGGCATGCAGCTCTCACTCTGCCACAGAGATGGCATCTGAATTGCCTTCTGTCCACGGAGGAGCAACAGCAGTGTCCCCACAAAGTAGTAGTGGGGACCTGGCTGTGGGCAGACTGAGACAGGGCCTGAAATATGCCAGGGAGTGGCTAAGTGGCAAACGGGAGCTAGAAATGGAGGGACCTGGGGAAGGGCAGCTCAATCGAGCACAAGTGGCACTCGCAGAGCAAGCAGGAGGAGTGTGAGACCATGCTTGTCGCATCCAGCTACCTGCACAGTGGGTGCTCCCGCCTCTCCCTAGTCCCCTGCATCAGCCCAGTCTCCATCATGCTGGCTCTCCACTTGCTGTGGCACTGAAAATTCCAGCCGAGGGCATTTCTACCAAGTTATTACTGACCAATAGCATTTAGCTTGTTTCCCTTCTCAGAGACAAACAAGTTTAAAAAAGAGTTTTCTGCTGCTTCTGCTGCTTCTCCTTCTCCTCCTCCTCCTCCTCCTCCTCCTTCTTCTTATAGAGACAAGGTCTTGCTCTGTCACTCAGGCTGGAGCTGGAATGCTGTGGGGTGATCATAGATCACTGAAACCTTGAACTCCTGGGCTCAAGTGATTCTCCCACCTCAGCCTTGCAGTAGCTAGGACTACAGGTGTGCACCACCACACTCAGCTAAATTTTTTGTAGAAAATAAGTCTGTTATGTTGCGCAGGCTGGTCTCACACTCCTGGGCTAAAGGGATCCTTCTGCCTTGACGTCCCAAAGCACTGGGATTACAGGTGTGAGCCACTGTGCCCAGCCAAAAAATAGTTTTCATTTACTGTACATCTATGTGGCATAACCTGAAATTTTTTCAAATCGAATCGCTCAGTCCAACTTTTATTTTGTCATGTGTTTTTCCAATTCTCATCCATTTGCATAAGCAAGGTTCATTTAATCATTTCTCATTTGACAAATGCTAGTGCCTGCTTTGTCATCCTAGAGTTTCACAACGTATTTTATGCTACTGAGAGCTCTGAGAAGTTCTGCCATAAAAAATCAATCTCTTCCACTTTCGCTTATCATCTTTTTTCCTTGATACAAATTCTGGTGGATTTATGCAACAGAATACTTTACAACTTCAGAGTCCAATGTGGAGCCCCAAGACCCCTGTGGCAATCCAGCACTTAAACTGGGACTGGTCTAAACTGAGACGTGCTGTAAGGGTAAAATCCATGTCAAGTTAGGAAGATAGGGCAAAAAGAAGAACATAAAACTTCACATTAACACTTTTTATTTATTAATTTTTTAAGACAGGATCTCACTCTTGCCCAGGCTGGGATGCAGTGATGCAATCACGATTCACCGTAGTCTCGACCTTCCCGGGCTCAGGTGATCCTCCCACCTCAGCCTCCTGAGTAGCTGGGACTACAGGCACATGCCACCACACCTGGCTAATTTTTGTATTTTTTGTAGAGACAGGGTTTTCGCCAGTTCACCCAGGCTGGTCTCAAACTCCTAGGCTCAAGTGATCCTCCCACCTCAGCCTCTCAAAGTGCTAAGACCACAGGCATGAGCCACAGTGCCCTTCATATTAACAATTTTGAGGGCAGTGGTGGAGAGGGCAGGGAGGATGGGAAGTTGTCCATCAAAGGGTACAGAGTTGCAGTTATGTAAGATGAGTAAGTCTAAGAGATTTAATGTACAACATGAGGACCATAGTTAATAATATTGTATTGTGTTGTATACTGGAAATTTGCTAAGAGGGTAGATTTTAGATACACTTAACCACACACACACACACACACACACACACACACACACACAGAGTAGCTAACTATATGGATAATGGGCATGTTAATTTGCTTGACTGTAGTAATCACTTCACTACATATATGTATATCAATATCAGGTTGTACACCTTAAATACATACTGAAAATAAAACACTTTTTATATTGATTATGGGTTGAAATGATAATATGTTGGCTATATTGGGTTAAATAAAATGTTTCTAAAGTTAACATTATTTGTTTCTTTCTTTTTTTTTTTTTTTAGGAGAGTAGGTCTCATTCTGTTGCCCAGACCAGTCCAGACTCCCCTCCGACCCTGCCCCACTTCCACTGCCAGGATCTGATGTGTCCTTAGGTGGCCCACACAGTCCTCCCAGCTATCTGCAGCTGCTGCTGGAACCTCCTTCACGCAGGCAGAAATGGGGTTTTTGGCCCTGACACGGTGTCCTCTTACATTCCCCCTGAGCTGGCTGCTAGAACTGGGCCATGTCTCTAAATGCCCTTCAGTCTTTCACAAAGCAGGGCGCGCGGGGTGTGTGAAAGTTCAGGCTGTGCTGATGGGAACAACCCATCCCATCCTTTCCCGTTGCTCCTCCCCAGCGTTGGCTGAAGCCCTCCTTTATTCACTGGACAGGTTATCTCGTAAAGAAGGCGCTAGCTTATGAACTCAGTCAGCACGTCGGTGAAACAGCCCGAGATCATTTGAAGCTGGTTTCAGGGCTTTGTTTATTCTTTCAGTTTTTCTAAAGTTACTGAAGGAGGCGCGTAATTCAGAGCAACTGAGAATTTTCTAGTAACTCTTTTTTCTCTGCACCCCCCCTCTCCACAGGAGGATTTAGATAGAAGCCATTACTTATTACTCTTAAGTGAGTTTGCCCTTTTGCTCAAGGGTAAATTATAGTCAAATCCTATCAATTTTTACTCAAATAATTTGAAATTATATAATTCACTGTATTAGAGTTCTCTAGAGAGACAGAACTAATGGAATATGTACATATATATGTACATATATATATATGTATATATATGGGAGTTTATTAAGTATTAACTCACACGATCACAAGGTCCCACAATAGGTCGTCTGCAGGCTGAGTAGCAAGAAGAGCCAGTCCGAGTTCCAAAACTGAAGAACTTAGAGTCTGATGTTCGAAGGCAGGAAGCGTCCAGTACAGGAGAAAGATGTAGGCTGGGAGGCTAGGCCAGTCTCTCTTGTCACGTTTTTCTGCCTGCTTGTATTCTAGCCATGCTGGCAGCTGATAAGATTGTGCTCACCCAGATTAAGGGTGGGTCTGCCTTTCCCAGCCCACTGACTGAAATGTTACCCTCCTTTGGCAACACCCCCACAGACGCACCCAGGATCAATACTTTGTATCCTTCAATCCAATCAAATTGACACTCAGTATTAACCATCACATTCACATACGGCCTGGATTGAAGTTACTGGTCCTTGTCAAACCATACATTGGGAAATACCTGTGGCTCAACAAAGGGTCCCAAATTTGGAATTCCAATCCCATGTTTGGAATATGTGAGTTCAACCCCTAGCTATACCAAGTTTTCCCAGGGAGGCCACTCATCTCTTAACCTTAGTTTATACTCTATAAAGTGAGGATAATAGTAGAAATACACCCTATGCCAAGTTGTAAGGATTCACCAAAATAACAGAAGTAAACAACCTTTGTAAACTGCAAAGCTATGCAAATAGAAATGGTCATTGTTTATCAACAGCGTGCATGAAAAGTACAAACAAGATTGGGAGAAATAAAATGTTAAGATCATATTTTAAAACTCTATAAGCATTCTATCTTCTTACGATTGATGTGCTAATTCCAACACCTTGTATTATGACCAGCTCTCTAATGACCTCTGTTTGAAATCGGACCCTTCTTGCTCTGTTACCTCCTGGAGACCCTGCCAGAAATGCCCAGAACAGAAAGGGGAACAGCCAGGACAAAGTGGGGCAGCTTCTGCAGAGGAAAGGCTTGTTTCTCTTGGTTTTATTCACTGCTTGTAAGGAGAAGAAGTTAGGTCCTGAAATCCCAGTAACTGACTCACCATCACTTTAAAAGACTGATTTTTATATGGAAAAAAATATGTTTTCCTGACAGACTATAAAAAGATAAAAGAGCATCTAACCCACTGCAAAGAGAGGTCTTATGAAATTCAAGGGCTGAACCCCGACTTTCCATGAAAAGAAAGGCCATCTTGGTCAAATTAAACATAGGCACTTGCAGTCCATATCGTCAGCAGAAGGACGGCCTGCTGGTCTAGCGAGCATACTTCTTCCTTATGCTGCTTGCTGTCTGTCACCTCCAGCAGATTCACTCCCTACCTTCTTCCTCCCTCTTCCTCCCCTCCTCGTTTCTTTTCTGGTAGTATTTGTGTCTACTTAGCCACACATTATCTAAATCCTACTTAAGATAAACAGGAAAACGGAAATGGGATTTAGGAGTTAGTGTGGAAAAGTCCTTGAAATTTTCAACTCAGTGTATGAAAACAAAAGAGGGTTAGGTAGGACGCCAAAAAAAAAAAAAAAAAAAAAAAAAAAAAAAAAAAAAAAAAGTGCAGAGATTTCTAATAATTGAATTTGGGAAATATTTGCAAGCAAATCATACACATGCGTTAATAGCTGGACCCCACCAGAAGCACCTTTGTGGATAAGTTGGAAGTTATTCTTATTAGATGGTGTAAAATAAGACAATTTTAAAAGGCTTAAAGTTTTACAATTTTTACAGATTAAAATTTGAGAAGGCAAATTTTGGGGGTTATAGGTATTAAGAATGAGGATTAGGGATATCAAATGGACTTTAATGAAATGGCGGCTGGGTGCGGTGGTGGCTCACACCTGTAATCCCAGCACTTCGGGAGGCCAAGGTGGACAGATCACGAGGTCAGGAGATCGAGACCACCCTGGCTAACACGGTGAAATCTCATCTTGTAAAAATACAAAAAATTAGCTGGGTCTAGTGGCACACACCTGTAGTCCCAGCTACTCGGGAGACTGAGGCAGGAGAATCACTTGAACCCAGGAGGCGGAGGTTGCAGTGAGCCGAGATCGCACCACTGCACTCCAGCCTGGGTGACAGAGCAAGACTCTGCCTCAAAAAAAAAAAAAAAAAAAAAAAGAAAGAAAGAAAGAAAAAGAAATGGCATAGTTGTTGAGAAGGAACTTCCAGTGTGTTTAATTAATCCTGGATACTCACATAGGATTAGAGATCTGTGATGCTCTGGCATTTATGAGCCTCCACTCCTCAGTCTTCCTAACTTGTGATGGGTCTTTTTAATGAAAAGCTGCCCCAAATCATTTTCTAACAAAGAGCAGCCTGAAAGCTGGGAGTTTGCAAGGGTGAATGCCAGCAGGAACTAAGGAGTAGATATGTTCAAGATAGCGACTTCATCTTCCCTTATCTTCCAGTCATGTGTACTGTAAATGACATCATACCAATATTCCAATCAATTCTCACTCAGTCGCCACCCACAATGACAAACTGTAAGACAGAAAAGCAAAGGAGTGAAAATGGCCCCTTGAAGTCCAGAGAGTGATGTCATACTTGCCTCTCTGGGTTCATCACTTATCATGACAAACATCTTCTCATTCCCTTAGTATGCTTATGCTGTTCCTGCCAAACTAAGATATCTTTTGAAGATAAAACAAAACATAAAAATAGGGCTTTCATCTTATTTCAGTGCAAATGGAATGTTACTGAAAAATATATAAAAACAAATTACACCAGAACATAAAATACATGCATGGGTCTGTGCAACAGAAGTTACCTCTATTACACATATCAACTGAAGTTATACAATGAGAAAAAACATAACTTATTAGGTAAACTTGCCATGAAGTGGATAAAATGAGCAGCAAAATATGCCACCATCTGATAACAGAGCCCAGAGAAGGATCTGAGAAGCTTGGCCGTGGCTTGATGGCTGAGACCAAAAGCTGAGATTGGGACATTCTACAGTTCATCTCGGTAAGAGTGCCCATGTGCTGGGTTTCTTCATTGTAATGATTTTCACAAAATATGTTCACCAAGATGAGCAAGATTTGTTGGATGTAAAACCTGACACATTCACGAGGGCCAAAAAGCAAACACTCCATTCAGCTAGTTTTTAAACACACCATCAAGTAAATTGGCAAAAATGCCCAGCGTCTGTAGCCCCAGTCAGCAGCCCCAGGAGGAGGAACCACATGGGTTTCTCACACTTGATCGGCCCCAGGTTGCGTGGGTTTCCACGTGGTCAGTCTCTGAGTGGGCTTCCACCTGAGGATGGCCAGGCTGTGGAAAGGTGACAGTTGTCACTGCCTGCCCTCACACACTGAATCTGGGTGTCCAAGGCAGGGGGCAGAGTCCTGAGAACAAGAAAAGCCCATTCTAGCAGCTGCTTCTTCCTTATGGGCAGCGGCTCTGTGGGAAACACAATGATGGTTCTCAATTGCCAAGTGGTTCAGAAGACTGGGACTTTGTGAAGACGTGTCACGAACATCTTAACCAATTTTATTCTCCATATATTCCTCACTTTATGAAACAGCGCTCTGTGATTTAACATTGTTTTTAAAAACTTTAAAGAGTACTTCCAACAATTATAAAATTAACATTCTAAGATGTAAGAAACTGGTCTGGTCTTAGTGGTGCTTAGGATAATGGTGCTATCCTACAATGGTAAGTTGCACAGATAAGCACTGTGCTAGGATCTTTCAACTTGGCATTGGATATTGCTATGGAAATTGTCAATTTTATTAACAATGATTTGTAAAGGTATGTAAAAATTTGCCTTTTCATAGTAAAGTTTGATGTCTATCTCTAGAGAAGATGTGATACTGGTAGGAATATTTAAATGACACTATGTATATATAGTGAGACAAAATCACTATATACATACCTACATACACACACGTATATACAGTCATGCATTGCTTAACAACTGGTGTATGTTCTGAGAAATGTATTGTTAGGTGATTTCATCGTTGTGTGAACATCACAGCGTGCAGTTACAATAGCCTAGTACACACCTAGGCTATATGGTACAGACTATTGCTGTCAAGCTACAAACCTGTATGGCATGTTACTGTACTGAATCTTACTGTACTGAATTGTAACACAATGGTAAGTATTTGTGTATCTAAACATAGAAAAAGGACAGTAAAAACATTGCATGAAAGATAAAAAGTGGTACACTTGTAGAGGGCACTTACCATGAATGGAGCTTGCAGGACTGGAAGCAGCTCTGGGTGTCAGTGAGTGGTGAGTAAATGTGAGGGCCTAGAACATGATACCACTGCTGACGTTATAAACACTACACTTAGACCACACTAAAATTACTCTGAAGTGTGATTGCTCTACAACTTTACGACAGCTACAATATTAGGCAATGGGCTTTTTTCATCTTACAGGACAATAGATATTATAATCTTACAGGACAACTGTCTCATCACACTTTATCATTGACCAAACCATTGTTATGTGGCACATGACTGTACATACCTATATATATATTTTTTCCTTTTGCAAATGTAGGAACTCTACCCAGCTAAATACCGCCAGATATAACATGCTTGCTCCAATTTGTGTGTTTTGCTGATATTTTTAATGAACGGAACAAATTCAATTCAGGCTGTGAAGGTTGCAACATTATGGTGATTACAACTGCAGAAAAATTGTTGGCAATTAAAAAACAGAAAAACTTAAACTCAACCTGAAAGATAAAACAAATTTGACTTTTAAAACTGTGTTTAAATATGCTGCAAAGATGAGCATTACGGTATCTAAGATTTTTTATTTTAATGACATTATTTAATATTCAAAATGTTTCAAAAGATATATTAAAAGAATATTTTTGCCAGAAATGGAGAAAGATTCTTTGATTTCTTCCAGATTTAATACTTACTAATTAATGATTTGAAACATTCACTTAGAGCTTTTTTTGATTCGTGATTTAATGTTGGAACAAAAATATTCTATTACTCTCTTGAGCGTTTCCATAGGGGATTAGGCCAAAACCAAACTCACTGCGTGTTTCTGTATGGTCCATCAGCTATGAGTAGTATTTACATTTTTAAATGGCTGAAAAGTGATAAAAAGACAAACAATATTTTGTGAAATGTGAAATTTATATGAAATTAAAATTTCTGTGTCTGTAAATAAAGTTTTATTGGAACATGGCACCGCTTATTTGTTTACATGTGGTCTGTGGCTGCTTTTGAGATAGAAAGGCAGAGTTAAGTAGTTGTAACAGAGACCATAAGACCCACAAAACCTAAAATATATAGTACTTGATCCTTTACAGAAAATTTTGCCAATGCTTAACCTAGATCAATTTGCTGAAAAAGCATCTCGAGGTTGCAAAATGAATTATTTAAAAAACATTAGTATGCACAGTTGCTTATCTGAGTGCCCCAAACCTTTCTCACAGTGCTGCAACTGAAACAATCCATAGAAATAAACTGGTTGGTAGGGCTGTTATTAGTATTTCAAATTCTTACTAAATAAATAACACTTCTTAATTTGCTAAATAAAATTTTGATTTAAAAAGTCGCGATATTTTTTCTTTTTTTTTTTTTTTGAGCTGGAGTCTTGCTCTGTCACCCAGGCTGGAGTGCAATGGCACGATCTCAGCTCACTGCAACCTCCGCCTCCTAGGTTCAAGCAATTCTCCTGCCTCAGCCTCCTGAGTATCTGGGATTACAGGCACGCGCCATCATGCCCAGCTAATTTTCGTATTTTTAGTAGAGACAGGGTTTCGTATTGCCCAGGCTGGTCTTGAACCCCTGACCTCAGGTGATCCACCCACCTCGGCCTTCCAAAGTGCTGGGATTACAAACATAAGCCACCGCTCTGCTCCCAGCCTCATTTCTTCTTTTTTCTTTTTCTTTTTCTTTTTTTTTTTTTTTTGAGACAGAGTCTTGCTGTGTCACCCAGGCTGGAGTGCAGTGGCACGATCTTGGTTCACTGCAAGCTCCACCTCCCAGGTTCACGCCATTCTCCTGCCTCAGCCTCCCGAGTAGCTGGGACTACAGGCACCTGCCACCACGCCTGGCTAATTTTTTGTATTTTTAGTAGAGATGGGGTTTCACCCTATTAGCCAGGATGGTCTTGAACTCCTGACCTTGTGATCCACCCACCTCGGCCTCCCAAAGTGCTGGGATTACAGGTGTGAGCCACCACACCTGGCCCAGTCTTATTTCTTAATTGAATTTTTAACTACTGTTGTAGATTTGAAGTAGCATAAATTTGTGCCAATGAAATGTCAACATGTGGTTTTATATTAGGGGCTTTGGCTCAAGATTTCATTAAAAATTGGAGCCCACTCCTGTAAAAATGTGAAATTCATCAGAACATACGAAGTAAATGTTAAAGAAAGTAGGGTCCCTGGGCACTTAAGTCCTATTTTTTTTTTTTTGAGTCATTCTCTGTCACTCAGGCTGGAGTGTTGTAGTGCGATAACAGCTCACTGCAGCCTCAGTCTCCCAGGCTCAAGCAATCCTCCCACCTCAGCCTCCTGAGTAGCTGGGACCACAGGTGCATGCCACTATGCCCTGCTAATTTATCTGTTTTTTTTTGTTTTTGTTTTTGTTTTGTTTGCTTGTTTGTTTGTTTTTTTAATAGAGATGGAATCTGGCTGTGTTGCCCAGGCTGGTCTCAAACTACTGTGCTCAAGCCATCTTCCCCCCTTGGCCTCCCAAATTGCTGGGATTAAAGGTGTGAGCCACTGAGCCCAGACTGAAGTCTATTCTTCAAGGTCCATTTCAAATGCCACCTTTTTTTTCAGGTGGGCACTGACCATGTCAGTTCTACATGTTCTCTTCTCTGGGTGTGCTGGTCTTGCTATTCTGTCCTAGGCACTTCTTAAAAACCTGTTTCTCTGTTCGAGTCTTATCTCTCTGTTGAGGTTTTCAGTTCCTGAGGACAGCTGAAATGTCTACTCCCAATGCTAAGCTCTTATTTCTCTCTTTTTTTTTTTTTTGAGACAAAATCTCGCTCTGTCGCCCAAGCTGGAGTGCAGTGGCGTAATCTCGGCTCACTGCAAGCTCCACTTCCCAAATTCAAGCCATTCTTCTGCCTTAGCCTCCTGAGTAGCTGGGACTACAGGTGTGCACCACAACACCTGGCTAATTTTTTGTATTTTTAGTAGAGATGGGGTTTCACCATGTTGGCCAGGCTGGTCTCGAGCTTGTGACCTCGTGATCCACCCGCCTTGGCCTCCCAAAGTGCTGGTATTACAGGCATGAGCCACCACGTCCAGCCTACTAAGCTCTTATTTCTTAACTGAGCTATGCCCTTTAAGAGATCTACAATTGATTTTTATGTTTATATCTTCCCCAACTTACGGGTTAAGCCAGGGAGAGACCCTAAGCAAATGTCAGTCTTAGGATATTACAAATGACTAGAAATTTACAGTTAAGAAGCACCTTTGCATGTATGATCTCAGCTGATTTTGGAAGAGCAGGTCATAATTCTGTAAGTGAGGTCAGTGGCTTGGCCAAGACTCGGGTACCTGGTGAATGCTCACTGCAGTCAGGGCCTGAATGTGCGGCTCCGGGTTTAGTGTTCACCACTGGCCTTTCAGCTCCAGCATTGACGCCTCAGGCAAGATAAGACCACTGGGGCTGAGGGTAGGAAAATGGGCCATGAGAGATGTCCCAACCTGACTGACGCATGCCTGTGGTCTGCGGAGACACACAGGCTGGGCGGCTGTGAAAGCGTCCAGGTATTAAAGGGACCGAGCCTTGACTGAGTGCTTCTCATGCATGTTCTCATTCATTCCTGAGACAACTCCATGAAATAGGTTCTAAATCCCCATCTCACAGATGTGGAAACAGAAGTTTGTGAGTTCAGTAATCTACCCAAGGTGACACCACCGGGGCGCTATGGAGTCCCGATTTGAGCCTATTGTCTGTTTGCGGGGTCTGTGTCCCTCCAGCTGCCTCCCACCAGTCTCCCTCTCATCCTGCCACATGTGCCTCTTATACACAGGGCCAACGGCCGCTTATCTGAAACCAAGCAAAGAGCCAGTGCCCTCCCAGAGGATCTGACATGGGTGACATTCCCCAGGACAAGGAAGTCCAGGCAGGTAAAGAAGAGATGGGGCAGCTTCCAGTCAAGACAGCAACATGAGGCGGGGACAGGGGCTGTGCCCTCTGGGCCCCAGTGCCGAGGAGACCCTAGGAAACCCAAGGAGCTATGTCCACATGGGGCTGCTTGTCTCCTGCTTTGGGGATGCTCAGTGCCACTGTCTTCTGCTCAGGGACTGTGGAAGATGGTTCAAAACCTGCCATATTTACTTGGAAGGCTGAAGCTGGAGGATCGCTTGAGACCGGGAGTTCGAGTCCAGCCTGGGCAACATAGTGAGACCCCATCTCTAAGAAAATAAACAAACAAATGAATAAATAGCCTGCCATGATTTTCCCATTCCTGGTTGCAAACTCTTGGTAGGCAACTGCTGCTCCTCTTTCTTTCCAAGCTCATCCTAACTTTTCCTCTGCTCATTCTAAAACAAGAGAGAACACTTTTCTGCTTCAATGGAAGTGGGTAAGTTTTGAAGAAATATGCTGGATCACACATATCCAACCCCATGGACCCTTCCCTTTGGCTAAAGGCAGAGTGAGTGGTTCCCTGGGAGAGCTGGGTGGATCTATGTGAGACGGACAGCCCTCTCCACTCAGGGGATTGCTCGATGGGACTGACCACAGCACCTTGCATGCCAGCCAGTACACACTGCCTGGCTCCCTTTGCTCACCAAATATTCATTATGCACCACCTATATACCAAGGCCTATAACAGGCTTTGTGGATACAAAGACAAATTACAAAATGCCTCTGCGTGAGTCATGGCTCCAGCAGGTTGCCAACGGAGGCATCAGCTCCATTGTGTCGCACAGAGCAGAACGCGTTTTCATCATCTGTGTTTCCTCGAGCCACACCACAAGGAGGCTAAACATAGGGTCACCTTGATCATAATGATAAGAATGTTTTTCTGGTCCTCCTCCCCTGGAAGGATCTCATGTGGATTGTGAAGGAATGTCATCCTTTTCTTGTGACCCAGAGCCAGCCTCCTATTCCACCCTCTCCAGCACAGACTAGTTCTAACTCATGCCCACACAGGAGGGGAGGTGGAGACCAGGAGGAGAACTCGCTTACCTGGCCGATGCCTCCACTGCTCGCCAGCCATAGGGCCAAAACCTGCCAGAGGGGCCTGTGAGCATCATCCACTTCCTTCTGCCTAGATGAGCTCTTTGACCCTAGAAGGCACTGAGCTCTCTCAGAGCCACCTGGCCACCCATGTGGATTGCTGACATGAAGCAATACAGTCAGCAAAGGGGATTTAAGACAGAAGCAGTGTAGGGTGAGTTTTCCAACGCCTGATCTGAGAGTCTTGCCTGTGATATTTGTTGTGTTTGGGAAGCACTGCGTTCTATAAGCTCCTCTGAAAATCACAGTGCATGCCAGTGTAACAAAGACTTGAAGAGCCCTGCGATAAAATCAAAACAAAATAAAACACACTCGGACACAAAATCCTGTTTGTCTAAATTAGCATTTTCCTCAAGTTTTTTTTTATTGGATCGAGGGTTTCTTTTTTCTCACTGAAAACTTCTTCATCTTACAGAACTAAGGCCTGTGGGAAAAACATATTGCAGACAACCCTGCCCTAGGGCATCAAGGCAGGAGGGTTGGGGGTGAGGGGGGCACCCTTTGCTCTTCCTCCAGCTTCTGCCTCCCAATGGCGGGACCCGGGACCAAGGACGTCCCACTCCCCGCTCCACTCTTGGCTGTGGTGGTGTGTGTCCCACATCGGAGGCAGCTGTAGTTGTTGATTGAAATGGGACACACATTTCCACACATTGTTAGCTGAGTTCGCTGGTAGGAGGACACACACTGGGGAAAGAATCTTGGCTTAGGAATTGGACAGACAAAGCCAGGTACTATTGCCTATTTAACAGCTGTGTGATCTTGGGTAAGTTAGAAGTCCCTGTAATTCTCGGTTTCCTTCTCTATGACATGAGAATAATGCATGCTTGACAGGCTTGTGTAAGGACAAAATGAAGTCATGTGTGCGAAAACCCTAGGGATGTGTCAGATACAGAGGAAGTGTGCAGTCATTGTTAGCCTCATGTACACACTCACACACACTCTCACACTCACACCATCACACCCTTCACACCACACATCCTCTCACACATCACACACACACACCAAACACACTGGCACACAGGCCGTACACACTCACACATGCACATCCTGCAGGTCCCTGAGGCGCAGGCACTATGCTTGGGCAGCATTCTGAAAGTACAGCAGGACCCATGGCCAGTGCAAAGGAGGGTTAGGGGGCACTTTACACTCCCTGGCAGAAGGTCTGAAGGGACTCTGAAGCCAAAACAGATGTAAGGAATTTGAGAAAACACTGGCAAGAAGGGCGTGGTGGCTCACACCTGCAATCCCAGCACTATGGGAGGCCAGCCTGGGCAACATGGCAAAACCCCGTCTCTAGAAAAGCATAAAAAATCAGCCAGGGTTGGTGGTGTGTTTTCACTCAGCTACTTGGGAGGCTGAGGCGGGAGGATTGTTTGAGCCCAGGAAGTTGAGGCTACAGTGAGCCGTGATCACACCACTGCACTCCAGCCTGAGCAACAGAGTGAGACCTTGTCTCAAAAAAGAAAGAAAGAAAGAAAAGACACTGGTGTTAGCTTTCAAGTCTTTAGAACTTGCTCCTACAGGGTCTTGATGCGATGGACAAAAGCAGCTGAATCGAGCAGTAACAGGTGTGTGAACGAATCCTCCTACGCGTACCCCTCACGTCTGTGTTCTGCCCACTTCTGCAGAGAATCTCTGCCCCAAGCCAGGCCAAGGGACCTCTTTACATGAGCAGCCAAGGGACAGAGACCTCTGGCTTCCCCAGGTGGGCCGGGGAAGCACAGAACAGCCAAGGGTGTCCCGATGTCTATTCACAGTGTATCTTCTTCCATCTTGAAAGTGCGTCACTTGTGGAAGGAACAAAACGCCATTACCCTCTATCTCATGGAGAAGCAGAGGTAAAAAGCAGAGAAGCGCTGTTTTACCCCAGCCTTCCTTATCTCTCTCAGCCATACTGGAAGCCCCCAAGGACGCATGATTATCTCAGGGTGACTGATGCTCTCTCTTTCCTTAATGCCACACACATAAGTCCACACTTTCAGCAGAAGAAAATACATAAGTGAGTGTAACAGAACAAGAGCCAGCTATGCATGCTTACATAATATTGTTTTGGGGCCTGTAAAACCCTGACTAGAAAAAATATTCCTTGTGCTCATGCCCGGGAGTCCACTCACAGCTCTGGTCTAGTCCCTTCAGTGTGGTGTTTTGATGCTGTTAGAAAGCAAAATGCCCCTGAGAAAGGGTACAGCTTGTGAAAAATCTGCAGGCATGAAGGCTGTGAGGGCTTTGTTAGAGGCGGGAAGAGCATCTGTTATTGGCCAACGAAGGTGGGTTCATTTCTGCATTAGCTCTGTGAGCCCAACCCTGAGCCAGACACCAAGATACTCGGTAAAGTAACCCCTTAGTAATGGTTTCTGGTTGGACCATCTCCAGAGCCCTAGGAAAGCCCATGAAAGGAGCTGCCATCTGACGTGGTGTTGGCCTGCAGCCCTTGCTCGAGGCTGAGGAGGACATCTGGGCCTTCCGCTGCCTGGGTGTTTGCCTGGTGAACAATGGCTGTAGCCAGAGTGTCTCCTCAGAGTCAGGCCCCGGGCTCTGTGACCTCAGGAGGTCAATAAATATTTGTTGACCGACAGACTCCACTGCTTGTCTTATTACAGACACACAGGGGGCCTGCCACTGCTGGCCAAACCCCAGTGTGGCCCCATCAGAAAACACAGGACAATAAACAGAGACGGATGGTCTGCCAGGAAAGACAGTGTCTTCCATTTGGTCATCCTCTTCCCAGCTGTGCCCTTCATTGAAGTTACAGGGCAGAGCGAGTGGCCTCACCAGGCCTCGGGGGCACCAGGACCTGAGGCACCTCCTTCCTCCCTCCCCTCCCCCTGTCCCGAGGTGTGATGGACAAAGGGAAACCCCGCCGGGGTGCCGGCTGATTAACCTCCCTTTCACACTGGCCTGGTGCGGGGCCTGGGCCGAAGTTCCACAGAGTTAGCAGATGTACTTCTAATTATTTATTAGGACTTCTCTCAGTGTGGCTCTTCTAATGAGACACTCTAAACTCCCAGAGGCTCGCCCGCAGGGGAATCATACAGCCACAGTTTGCAGGCAGGAAAGGCATGTCTCCATCACCACCCAGCTTTTGCCTGAATTTAGGTATGCTGTTATGTGTAAAGCGTAGAAAGTCACAGGTTTAAACACTAAGCCAGGAGACCTGGCGGCTGGAATGGCCTAAATGTTGACTTCATGGACTGAATTGTGTCCCCCCAAATTCATCTTGAATTCTTAATCCTCAGGACCTCAGAATGTGACTGTATTTGGAAACAGGATCTTGAAGAGGTAATTGAGTTAAAACAGGGATGGGCTAATCCAATCTGACTGGTGTCCTTATAAGAAGAGGAGACTGGACACAAACACAAACAGGGAAATTGTGTGAGGACACAGGGAGAAAATGACCAACTGCAAGCCAAGGAGAAGCTACCCTGGTAACACCTTGATCTTGGACTTCCAGCTTTGCAGAATCACAAGAAAATACATGTCTGTTGTGTAAGCCACCCAGTCTAAGCGGCTCTGATATGGCAGCCCTAGCAGACTAATGCAGTGGCCCTGGGGAATGTTGTCCTTTATACCCGGGGCTTCACAGCTTACCATGTGTGCCATGGCTAGTGGCTTGTGCAGTCTGCACCACAGGCCTGAAGGGCAGGTCAAGAAGTATTACAGGACTCCTGCCCCTTATCTAAAACTACTGGGAACAAATGTGTTTGGACTTCAGGATTCCTCAGATTTCAGAAAGATCAAGCATGCATATACCACAAATTATTGAACACTGAGTGAGTCTGACATAGCACCCATAATTAAACACACGAACACTTCTGAAATGAAACAGGATGCGTGTGTGTAGAGATAGATGTCTAGATATAGATATGTAATTGCACTGAGGGATTTATATAGTTTGGATATTTGTCCTCCCCAAGCCTCATGTGAAATTTGATCCCCAGTGTTGGAGGTGGGGCCTAGTGGGAGGTGTTTGGTCATGGGGGGCTGATCCCTCATGAATGGCTTGATGCCCTTCCCCAAGATAATGAGTGATTTTTATTCTATGAGTTCACGTGAGAGCTGAGAGCTGGTTGTTTGAAGGAGTCTGACACCTTCTCCCCGCCCTCTTGCTCCCTCTTTCTTGCCATGTGACATGCCTGCTCCCCCTTCACTTTCTGCCATGATTGGGAGCTTCCTGAGGTCCTCACCAAAAGCAGATGTCAGCGCCATGCTTCTTGTATAGCCTGTGGAACTGTGAGCCAAAGAAACCTCTTTTCTTTATAAATTACCCAGCCTCAGGTCAGCAGCACAAAACAGACTTAGACAGGGATACATATAGAATATATATAACCTCCTGTTTGTTCATATGAAATTTTGCCACCAAAACAGTTAGTACTAAGTGGATAAATACTTTTTTGGTTTGGGGAACTTTAGAAATATGCATAGGGTATTATGGACTTGTCTAATACCCCCACCCCCACCTCCTGACTTTCATAGATGAAGAAATCAAGACTCAGAGGGTAAGCAGTTCATTGGAGATCACTTGACTCATGGAAGAGCAGCTTGGCTCTTAACTTCTGTCTCCTAACTCCAAGATCCATTTCCTTCCACATGAGCCTAGAGGGCCTCCCTATAGGGTTTATTCACCACCAGCTGCTTGCAGATGCCTTCCTATGTACACATCACCCACATCCTTCCTCCACACCTTGCTACCTCCCGGCTCCACCTTGAACACCTGGCAGCTGTCAACAGACATTATCTTCTAGGCTCACTTCTCTGACCTCTCTGACTCTCACAGTTTTGGAACTAGAAATGATTTTAAAGATTATTCTAGCATGGTAGCCTGCTGATGTTTTTAAAGAATCAAGCCCTTTATTTTTCCAGTGTAATCATACATCTCGGATTATCAAACAAATACAGCAGAGCTTCAAAGTGAGCTGTACAAGGTAAGCCTGGCGTCCTTTCTTAGCCCAACCAGCCAGAGAGATCTGAGGTACTGTTACTGCAGCAAATCCGTATCTGTGCAGTCTGCAGCAACCTCGATTCTTGCCTCCTCAGAAGAAAGAATTCAACTGAGGGGCATAAGTCATAAGGTGTAAGGGAAAACTGAGGCAAGGTGTTTTGTTTGTTTGTTTGTTTTGAGACGGAGTCTCACTCTGTCATCAAGGCTGGAGTGTAGTGGCATGATCTCAGCTCGCTGCAACCTCCGCTTCCTGGGTTCAAGCGATTCTCCTGCCTCAGCCTCCTGAGTAGCTGGGACTGCAGGTGCATGCCACCGCGCCCAGCTAAATTTTTATTTTCAGTAGAGATGGGGTTTCACCATATTGGTGGCCAGGCTGGTCTCGAACTCCTGACCTCAGGTGATCCACCTGCCTCGGCCACCCAAAGTGCTGGGATTACAGGGGTGAGCCAATGCACCCGCCCATGAGGCAAGGTTTTAGAGCAGGAGTGAAAGTTTATTAAAAAGCTTTAGGGCAGGAATGAAAGGAAGTAAGTACACTTGGAAGAGGGCCAAGCAGGCGACTTGAGAGGTCCAGTGCAGGGTTTGGCCTTTGATTTGGGGTTTTATACGTTGGCATGTTTCTGGGGTCGTGTGGTACATCTCCCCTGATTCTTCCCTTGGGGTTGGCTGTCTGCATGTGCAGTGGCCTGCCAGCACCTGGGAGGGGTCTTGTGTGCAGTGCGTTTACTGGAGTCATGCACATGCCCACTTGAGGCGTCTGTCCCTTACCAGTCCAGCGTTCCTAGAAGAAGGTCATATACCAGTTAAACGCCGCCATTTGCCTTTTAGTGCGCGTGTTGGGTCCACTCACCCAACTCCTGAGATCTTATCTGGAAGCTGCTGATCACCAGTTTCAGGTATTTTCTATCTATTGGGAGACTGCCCTTGCCTGGCGCTGGCTGCGACCAATTACTATTTTAGAGCGATCGTTAACAGCCAGCTGCCTGTCACCTGATGGTCACCTGACATTTCTGGTGGGTGTGTCAGGGCTGGCTGGGGAGCCCCCTCCTGTCCTGCTCATGCCTGACTAGCTACCTACTATAACAGAACCTTCACAGAACTCTGGGGATCCCCAAAATACAGTCTGGTAAACTCTGGTGCAGTGTGACCCTCTCATACCATGGAAGAGAAAAAAACAAGATCTGCCAGGTCACAAAAGTAGATGATTTTTACAAGATGCCCATAAGTTATGACTAATCTCATTGCATAGAGTCAGAAACTGAGGCCCCGAAAAGAACAGCAAAAACGAAAACAAAAACAAGAACAATAACAACAACCCAAGGGCAAGCAGACTGCTGTTTCCATCCTAGCCCGTGGGCCGGCAGCAATGCTGCAATTAGCATGCCTTACAGATACATGTTCCAGGCATTTCATGTTGCTCTCCCATATGGTAAACAGAAAAGCGAGATGTACTGTCTGAAAAGCTGCCCAGTTGTATCCTGGGCTGACCAGGTTTATGCTCGGGAATTCTTAGCAGCAATAGTTTGTAATATGAAGCACAAATTCCAATGCCCATCCTTATGCCCCAAGTGTTCGTAATAATGCAGTGACCCCTGAGTTAACCAAATGTAAAGAAATCCCAAAATATGTTACATAAGAGAGATTTTTGTTTCTCTGCTCTAGAATCTGCCAAATGGAGTGTTTTCAAACTTTTCATCTCAAAAAAATTCCCCCTAGACTAAAATCCAAAATCCAAGAGTTCAATCCAAAAAGGATAAATCTGTTAAAGGTCATGATCCTGGTAACTACTAGATTGTAGTGAAAATTGATGTTTTCATGACAGAAAAAAAATTAGGTAGTAGTATTTTGGAGGAGTTTTGCCAAAAAACTTTGGATATCTCTTTCAGTTTTCTTAAAGCGATGCTTGTCTTTTCCTCCGCCTTCTTGATTCCATTGTGAAAGTCACCTCTACATGTTTGGGGACGGTTCCAGGGACTTCAAAGTTTGCTCAGCTACTGTCTGAAAGTGAGATAATGACTATAAATTGTCCTTTGATATTCATCACCCTCTTGCTCTTGATAACAGAAGCCCCTGAGCACAGGGCTCACAGCTACGCACAGGGATATGACGTTCTTCAGCCTCCCTTGAACAAGATATGGCCCTTAGGTGAAGGTTGCACAAAAAGGATGCAAGCAGAAGTGATGTGGTCTACTTCTGAGTTATGTTCTTAACAGGACCACGCTTGCCCCTCACTCACCCCTGCTTCATGTGATTGAGGATGGTTCCCCAGGGCTCGTGAAAGGGAACCGGGCCTCTGGATGATGACCTGCTGCAGCGTTACCCACACTCTGGGCCACATGTTTTGGGGTCCCTTTGTTACAGCGTCTTCCCTCTATCTACTAACAAGCCTGGGACATGATGTGTGGGTGTGACAGCTGCAAGCAGCAAGCATAGCAGGAAGCCTGCCGTCTCCCACTCCCCTGCATGCATTTACTCCCCTTCTTGACCCATTTTCTGCTTGTCCTATCACAGCCCTATCTGAGGAGAGGAGCTCTGTCCTCATTGTAAAGATGTCACGGATAAATCTTGAGAGGAATGACTCTGAAGAATGCACTGGGCTGGCTGGGTGCGGTGGCTCATGCCTGTAATCCCAGCACTTTGGGAGGCCGAGGTGGTTGGATCACGAGGTCAAGAGACTGAGACCATCCTGGCCAACAGGGTGAAACCCCGTCTCTACTAAAAATACAAAAATTAGCTGGGCATGGTGGCGTGCGCCTGTAATCCCAGCTACTTGGGAGGCTGAGGCAGGAGAATCGCTTGAACCCAGGAGGCAGAGTTTGCAGTGAGCTGAGATCACACCACTGCACTACAGCCTGGGCAACAGAGGGAGACTCCATCTCAGGAAAAAAAAAATGCACTGGGCTAGAATTAAGAGCAGGAAGTTCTGGTCTTGAGCCTTGGCCAGAATGTGATGTCAGCTTCGGTGACAGCACTTGTGAGCTCTTGGGGAAAAAAAGTAGCCATTGTGACCAAGGACCCGAGAAGGCCACAGGTTACTGAAGAACTTGCGCTTGATGCTGCCCTTCCTCATAAGGGTAATCTCAGCCAATGAACGCAGGTCGGCCCAGCACATGGGGAGCGGGGACTCTGGGCCAGCAGCCCTCACATCTGGTTCACATAATGATACCTCACACAATCACCACTGTCATCCTCTTCTCCACAGGCTTTTCTCCCTGGAGCACTGAGCAGATGTGAACTTTCTATACTGTGGTGGTGGGCAGGGTAGGGGACTCTGATATTTTCAATCATTTACTCATTCATTCATCAACAAATATTTATTGAAGGCCTGCTGTGTGCTGGGTGCTACGCTTGACAGGAGGGTCAAGGCCCCTGCTCTCATGGAACTCACATTTTAGTGGTGGGAAACAGAGAACAAGTAAGTAAACATTGAACAATATTATTTTAGAAAGTGATTAAGAATCAGTTGAGGGCTACTTTGGGAAGAGTGGTCAAGGACACTCTCTTCAAAGGGCTGATGTACACCCTGAGACCAGCACCAGGAGATGAAACCAGCCATGAATAGTGAGTGCAAATGTCCTGGGGCTGTCAAGCTCTTGCTAAGTTCCAGAAACCTAGAGAAGGCAGTGCCGCTGGAGTTCGGGACGTTCAGGGTGGAGGGCGGAACAGTAGGCAGGGGCCAGATGGTACAGGGCCCTGCGGACTCTGACATGGACTTTCAATTTTATTTTAAGCACAATCTGAAGCCATTGAAGGATTTTTAAACAGGAGAAGGATGTGGCATGATTTGCTTATTAAAAAGATAGCCCAGCTGCTATGCAAAGAATGACTTTTAAAAGTGCAAAAATAGAAATACGAAGACCAGTTAGGAGGGTATTGCAGTAATCCTGGCGAGAGGTAATAACTATTATTATCCCCATTTCATGGAGGCCTAGAGAAGACGGAATTTATGCAAATGCATACTACAGATAATAATAATGCTTTACTTTTATTTGCATAGTGATTTTAATTTGAAAAGCCTTTTTACCTATAGCACTTCATTCAAACTTCAGAGCAACCCCGGGATAAACTGTGATCCCATTTCCTAGACTTGAAGTGAGCCTCTGAGAAGTGGATGCCTGACAAGATCACAGAAGTGGTCAGGGCCAGAAGCCTGGTTTAACTCCTGGTCTCCCGACTCCTAACTTCCAGTTCTTTCCATTCCCCTTTCCCTACCCCATGCCACTTCCCCAGATTAAAAGCAATGGGCATAGAAGCCAAACCAAGTAATCAAGCATCCAAAGTCACACAGGACATCCGCCCTGAGGGGCTCCAGGAGTAATCGAGCTACCCACCGAGTCCCTGTGAGATGCCAAGCTCTACTTCAGTTGCTGCCAGAGGGTTAGAGAACAAAGGAAACAAGACATTCCTTGGCCCCCAGACACTTAAAGTCTAGTTGGGAAAATCAAGAGGACTTCTATAGATTATTTACAAATGCTCTGCAAATTAAAAGCCATATCCAATTACAAAAAACTTTGGGAAGAACCCAGATTCTTTCCCTGTGTCCAATGGGCCTGAAGTCTATTAACAAAGGTAATTCCTTTAAGTGGGACTTCATGTTCCTCAAGGGCAGTTGCTGGCCTGTTAACAAGGTCAGCAGCATCAGCCGGGTAATATTGGGCTGGAGAAGTCCTTTTCCAAGTGCCCTCTCTTATCTAATGTGGCACAGCAAAACACTCTCAAACTTAGTAATCCAATAACCATTTTTATGATCCTCATGAATTTTGTGGCTCATGAATTTGGACAAGGCTGAGCTGAGCTGGCTTGTTTCTGATCCACCGTGTTTGGGCCTCAGCTGAGAACACGCTAATGGCCAGGAGTTGGAATCCCCTGACACCCCATATGGCTGGCGCTTGGACTGATACTCACAAGGCTGAGCTGAGCTTGGCTTGCTAACCAGCCCATTGCCTTGTGCTTTCTCCACGGGCTGGGGCTCCCCACTGGATCATGGCCTCATGGAAGTCATACTTTTGCCTTGCAGCCTGGAGCTCCAAGAGTGAAGGTTCCAGAAAACGAGGTGGAAGCCACATGACTTTGACTTACTCTCGAAGTCCCACAGTGTCCCCTCCACCACGGTCAGTTAGGCAAATTATTGCAAGGTCACCCACACTCAAAGAGGGGGCCATAGATCCTGCCTTTCAATAAGAAGAACATCAAAATTTTACAGCCACAGTTAAGAACCACCACTGTCCCCTTTACCTAAATGGTGTGTTCCTGTGAGTAAATATAAATTAATACTGAATAAGGTGTTCATAGTAGCATTGCCAGTGTGCAGAATGAAGGAATGACTACAGTTAAGATTGCCTAGTCAGGAGGGTGTTAATACAGATGTTTTTCTGAAAGGTTCATTTTAGTTAGATTTTAAAGGATGCAAGAAAAATATTGATTTCAAATGAATGCTAATTATAAATGAATCTACTCATTAAAGCAGCACAGCAGGGCTTACACTTGGAAATACTTAGAGAGAATTAATAGAGTTATTATGTGCTTGAGATAAAAATAAAAAGAGAATGCTAGGTTGCTGAAAGAGAAAAAAGCAAAGAGCCAGTCTGAGAAACACCACGGAAAATGTGTGTTTTTTTTCGTGTTGATTCTCCTGGTAGGCTCCTGGGCTATTCTCTAGTCAGCTCTCTGGCAGCAAAGCATAGTATGATTTCAGAGTATCTCACAAAGAAGAATAGGTTTTCTTCTCCCATGGTAAGCTAGAATGCATGTGTGCACCTGGTAAAACAAAAACCTGGGTTAGTTTGAACCTCTTCCATTGCTTTTTAAAACATCTTTAATAAGATGTAATTCACAAATCATAAAACCTACCCATTTAAAGTGTATTATTCAGTGGTTGTTGGTGTATTCACAGAGTTGTGCAACCACTAGCACAGTGTAATTTTAGGTTGTTGTCGTCACCCCAAAAAGAAACCCCACCCCATGAATAGTCATTCCCATTCCTAACCTCCTCCCCAGCTCTAGGGAACCTCTAATATACATCTGTCTCTTTAGGTTTGCCAATTCTGGACTTTTCACATAAATGGACATAAAGTGCTTCTTTATGTCTGGCTCTTTCACTCAGCATAATGTTTTTAAGGCTCATCCATATTAGCACTTCATTTCTTTTCAAGAAACAGAAATGTTCCATTTATGGTTATATTACATTTTGTTTATCCATTTATCAGTTCATGGACATTTGAGTTGTTTTCACTTTTTGGCTACTATGAATTATATTGCTATGAATGTTCATGTACAAGTTTTGTGTGGACATACATTTTCATTTCTTTTGCATATGTACCTGGGAGTGGAACGCTGGGTCATGTCTATGTTTAACATTTAGAGGATCTGCCAAAGTGTTTTCCAAAGGGGCTGTACCATTTTACATTCTCATTAGTAATGTATGAGAGTTCCAACTTTTCCACTTCCTTGCCAATACTTGTTATTTTCTGTCTTTTTGATTATAGCTACCCTATTGGGCATGAAGTTGCATCTCATTGTGGTTTTGATTTGCACTTCCCTGATGATTAATGATGATGAGCATTTTTTTCAAGTTCTTATTTGTCATTCATATGTCTTCTTTGGAGACATGTTTACTCAAATCCTTTGCCCATTTTTAATTGGATTACTTGTCTTTTTATTATTGAGTTGTAAGAATTCTTTTATATACTCTGGATATAAATCCCTTGCTATACGTGAATTTGCTAATAGTTCCCTCTATTCTGTGGGTTATTTTTTTCCTCTTTCTTGATAGTATTGTTTGCAGCACAAAAATTTTAACTTTGACAGAGTTCAATTTATCTATTTTTTTCTTTTGTTGTTTGTGCTTTTGGTGCTATATGTAACAAACCATTGCCTAAATCAAGATCGTACAGATTCTGTTTTTTTTCCAAAGGGTTTCATGACGTTAGCTCTTACCTTTATGTCTGTGACTATTCTGAGTTAATTTCTGTGTATGGCGTGAGGTAGAGGGTCCAACTTTACTTTTTTATTTGTGGACATCACTGTTTATTTGTGTCCACCACTGTTTGTTCAAGAGTCTATTTTTCCCCCATTCAGTTGTCTTGGCACCCTTCTGAAAAATCAATTGACCATAAATAAAGGGTTTATTTCTGGACACTCGATTACATTTCATTGATCTATGTTTTCCTTATGTCAGTACCATATGGTCTGATTACTATAGCTTTATAATAAGTTTGAAAATCAGGAAGTGTGAAAACTTCAAGTTTGTTCTTTTCCTAGATTGTTTTGGCTATTCTGGGTCCCTAGCATTTTCACATGAATTTTAGGATCAGCTTGTTAATAATTTCTGAAAAAGAGCTGGTTAGAATTTTGGTAAAGATTGTGTTAGATCTATAGATCAGTTTGGAGAGAATTGTCATCTCAATAATATTGTCTTCCTATCCATGGCCTTGGGAAATCTTTCTATTTATTTAGTTAGGCCTTTCATTTATTTCAACAATGTTTTGTAGTCATCAGTGTATAAGTCTTGTATTTTTTGGTTAAGTTTATTCTAAGAAATGTGTCCCTTTTGATACTACTATAAATGAAATTGTTTTTAATTTCATTTTTTTAAATTGATAAGTAGTAATTACATATATTTATGGAGTATGATGTAAAGTTTTGATATATTTGGACATTGCGGAATGATTAAATCAAGCTAATTAACATACCTAACATCTCACATACTTACCATTTTTTTGTGATGAGAACATTTACAATTTACTTTCTTAGCAATTTGAAATATACATTATTATTAACTATAGTCACCGTGCTGTGCAATATATCTAAAAACTTATTTCTCCTATTTAAGTGAAACTTTCTACCTTTTAACCAATGTCTCCCCCAGGAAGCCAGCTTCTGGTAACCATCATTCTACTCTCTATTTCTATAAGTTCGACTTTTTGTTTTTAGATTCCACATATAAGTGAGAATATGCAGTATTTATCCTTCTGCGCCTAGCTTATTTCACTTAACATAATGTCCTCCACATTCATCCATGTGGCCACAAATGAAAGAATTTCCTTCTTTTTAAAGGATGAATAATGCTCCATTGTGTTTGTATGCTGCGTTTTCTTTGTCCATTCATTTGTTGATGAACACTTAGGTTGATTTCATATCTTGGCTATTGTGAGTAATGCTGCAGTGAATATGGGGGTGCACATAACTCTTTGATATGCTGATTTCAATTCCTTTGGGCGTATACCCAGAAGTGGGATTGCTGGATCATATGGTAGTTCTATTTTTAGTTTTTTGAGAAATCTCCATACGGTCTTCCATAATGTCTGTACTAATTTACATTCCCAACAACAGTGTGCGAGGGATCCCTTTTTTCCACATTCTCACCAACAGTTTATCTTTCGTCTTTTTATAATGGCCATCACAGTATATTGTGCCACTGCTGACGTTTCTGTTCAGTTACCTTATTGGTCAGCTAATGATTTGCCAGAAATTTCTTTAAATGCTTTGAGCCAGTAGATCTTCCACCCTTTGCCAAGGGGCCCCGGGTGTGCTGGGGCATCTCTTCAATGCTCAGTTTACAACCCTGCTTTAACCTTTACTTCTTGTTTGTGCAGAGCCTTATGGTTAGCCAGAGATTGGGTGAGCTGAGAGACTGGGACCTTCTTGGGTCTTTTCTGGGCTTGTGCACAACCCTGCACACATGCATAGATAGCCTTTTAGATCCCTGGGAATATGTCAGAGCTTTTCAAAGCCCCACAGGGAAACATCATTCCCCAGCTATTCCTGTTACATTTTTGGCCAGACTCTTGATTGTCCCACCTGACAGTGCAGCCTCAGGCAGCTGCAGTGATACACAATTGCTGCTGATGGTTTTTGACCAATCCCCTGGGTATAGAGTTTTTCTTCAGAGTGAACTCTGTTAGGCCAAATTTCAACAATGCCTGGTAAATGGGACTTCTCCAGAAGTCGGAAGGACAGCTAAATAATGACAATGCTTTGCAGATGGGACATTTTGAGGAGCTTCAAACCCAGTCTATTTCCTCTGGTGGCTGCAAAGTTGCTGGTTTTTACCATTCCTGTGGTTGTGAGGCTGCTAGTTATCATGGCTAACAGGGGCTGGGTAGAATGGGATGGGAATAGGCCAAGTTCAAGTGTCACAAACCTTTCTGCTCTTACCAAGGTTCAACAGTTTTTCCTGAATAAACGCCCTCAGATTGTTGCCAGCCTTTGGTTAATTTCCAGAGTTCTGAAACAGTTTATTTTGACCATTTCCTAGTGTTTCTGTTATTTTAATGGGAGAGTAGGCTTATGGAGGGCCTCACTCTGCCATTCTGTAACTCCTGCACCTCTTCCATTCTTAAACAGGACCATTCCTATTTGGTTGCATTGGAAAACTATATCAAAACAACATTTTCTCTCCAAAGTCATTTTGGCAAAACCTCTGACCAACCAGAGATATGGGTGAAGAATATTCCATGGTCAAATAAATTCAGAAACTATCCTTTGCTCTACCTTATTCTTGGAGAGTCCCAGTGCATGTTAGCATTCGAGAGTGGGAGAGGTCCTGCTGTAAAGAATCCATTTAGTTCTGCTTACCAAAGGTTTCCTAAACATATTTGCCTGTATAACTGTCTTGTTTTACTTTGTTTCATTTGCTTAACACGTCTTAATTAGTGCTTCTCAGAGTCTGCTAAACTAACCTTAAAGGTGAACTCCGGGCCAAGTGTTTGGCCCACTTTTCAGAACTAACACCTCAGGAGTCGGGTATCTGATGAGAATTGTCAGGGTCCCCATGAAATACAGCTGTAGTACTTTTGCCTTTATTTCTATTTTCTTTATACTTCATCTGATGTCTAAAGAGGTGACTATGTTTTTTTCAGGTTTGGAGATGTGAGTCCAGCTAATTTACTTGTTTCAGCTCCATTGTGAATATGCTGTGTGATCTAAGAAAGTTGCTTTATCTATTGTGGTTTTCTTTCCTTTCGCCAAAGAAAGGATCTGCGAACTCATCTCCTGGAATAAGGAAGTGCAAAAAACTTTGCGGTGCAACGTATGGGTTTCATCTTCTTCAGGCCCCTCAATCAATAATGGATTCTAAGAAACCACGCAGACTTGGAACGCCACAGAATCAGTGATCCCAGTCATATGCATGCACATGCATACATGCACACACACGCGTGTATACAACACCCAGTGGGTGTGGTGAGCCCAGCAGGGCTGGGGTGGCAGGAGTCCCCAGCAGGTTGCCTCCATCTGAGAGCAGCCTTGTCCCTTTGCGACAGGGGTGGTGCAGAGATAATTCTTTCCTCTGACGGCCTTGACCTGAGTAAGCCTGGGCAGCCCTGGCCTGGGAGGCTTGCGAGCATCCCCACCGTCACTGGTGAAGGGCTCTGGGATAGAGAGTCAGGAAATTGGTTCTTGTTCTGCCTTTGTCACTCTTCTGGAAAAGTCACCTCACTTTCCTGGGTCTTCGTCATAGACCCAGGAAATGAAGACATTGAACGTTATGACTGCCACAGTCCTTGCCAGCTCCGGAGTTCCTTGAATTTTATGATACAGGATGTCTTCCTAGTGCAAGAGGTCCCAGTGTCATGCATGGCCGTGGTCCCATCAAGGGCCTCCTAACTTCCCCCAGCTCTTGTCAGGCCTGCACAGGGCAGGCTTCCAGAAAACAGCCTCCTTTCTGGCTTCTGTCAGCACAGCAGTTGTGAACTTCCTGCCATGTGGCTCATAGCTTCAATGTCTGGGCCAAATGTGGAGAAAGGGCAAGCAGAGAAGGCCTGCAAGGAGGAAGCTGAGGGACTGGCACTGGCTCCCACTTCCTTCTTATCTGTGGGTGAGGCACAGAAAGCCCCCGGCCCTCCCCTGCCAGGGTGCGGTGTGTGGGCCCCTGATCGGCAAGGCCTCCACATCACTACCACCTTACCACCTTGGCCTCCACGTGTTTCAGAGCCGGCTCCCTTCCCATGGCCTTTCCACTCCACCCCACCCCACCCCCAGCTCTGACATCAAAGCAGTGGGCTCTGGAGCTCTGAGGATGTCCCAGGCTGTTCACACAGAGGCCATTCCACATTTTACAGCTCTAATTGGTTTTGTAACTGCAGTGAGTTGATGAGAAACACACCCGCTCACACGTAGAAGACAGGGAGCACTACAAACTTTGCTTATTTTGCAAATGCAATGAAGCAAGACAGCAGTGTCACTGCCAACATCTGACTGATCAAGAGTGTCCATGGCATTTTTCCAGAGAGACAGCTGGGCCTGCGATGGCCTTGCAGGGCCCCAGATGCTCTGTGGGGTGCTCCAGTGTCCCTCCCTCACTTGTTTACCCGTGAATGCGCCACATCCTGCCTGGGGCTGGTCAGGTGAGGCTGGAGGACTTCATGGCGGCAGGCTCAGCCTGATAATCCCAGGCCAGCGGGTGGTGCTAGGGTCAGGCTGCACATGGACAGGAGGATGAGAGGGCATGGGCAGTCACCGCAGATGGGGCCAGCTTGGGCCTGGCACACTGCAGGTGTTCAGTTGAGACTGGTTAAAAAGTCCTCTTGCTAGAGCTCCTGACTCTTCTTGGTGCTAACAGGCACCTCCGGCTTGTCCTGTCCATAACCCACGCTTGTTTTCTGCGCCAGCCCACCCTAACCTCCTCCATCTTTCCATTTCAGTGAATGGCACCACCCCCTACCAGAGCTGAGAGAAAAGCCTACCAGCTCCCCATCTCTGGGGACATCAGAACAGTGGCGTCCATGCTATCAGCACCTCCTCCTGCAGCCGCCAAAGAGTCTCCTCATTTTCCCTTTCGTCCCTGCAGTCTGTTCTCCAAAAACAGCAGGAGCAAGCTTTCACAAATGGGAGTCAGGTTATGCAGCTTTCCTGCCTAAAATCCTCGGCTGGCTTCCCATGGCTCTTGAATAAAATCTCAGCTCCTCGCCACAGTCTAAAGGCCCTGACTTCCTACCTAACTTCTTTCATTTTTGCCGTGAGTCCGTTTGATCCAGCCTGTGGGACTGCTGTCTGTCCTCAAGGGCATGAACACGGTGCTGCTGAAGGACTTTTGCATGTACTCTTTGTCTGCCTAGAATGCTCTGCCCTCCGTGTTTTCAAGACCCGCCTGTCCTCCTCCCTTCCTCGGAGGAGTCCCTTACCACCCAATGGGAGGGCATCACTCCATCTCATCCGTGCTGCCAAATACTTCCCATTCTACTATTTGCAACCATTACCATCCAACATTTAGATAACCATTTTTATAGTTTTTGTTGTTGATTTGTTTATAATTAACCTCCCCTACAAGAATGAAAGCTTCTAGGTTGTCTTGTTGGCCACAGTGCCTAGAACAATGCCTGGCACCCATCAGTGCTTAACACGTGTTGACTGAATGGAGCTGGGCCTGTTCCACTTTCATAAGTCACCCCAGTAGGAATTCCAACCATGTGGAGAGTAATGACTCCATCCCAGGGTTCACAGAGACCATGGCGGGTTGAAGTGGGTCACTTCGGACTTCAGCAGAAACTCGACAGCTCCCTGTGAGCATGCCTGTGGCCACACTGGTGAGGCTCCACCCTCACTATGGACCAGCAGCACATGAGGGGCCAGCCGAGGTCACCAGGCCCTCCCTCCTCTCCTGCCAGCTGAGCCTCCCTGCATGTGGGTGGGACCATGAGGGATGTTTGCGAGTAGAGAAAAGGAAGAGGCAAGATGAAGACTAGCTCAGAAATGTGACTGTTTTCTTTTTGTTTACCTCTATTTTCTGATAATTATATAGTGATCATGTATGTCTTTCATAATTAAAAAATCATTGTAAAAAATTATTCTAGTAGATTAATAGTATCAGAAGAGACAGAGAGCTAGAAATAACAATTTACCTTTAAAATATCTTGAAAATGGACTGCAACCATGTGCAATGATCCAACCCTCTAGCTCAGGAGTCGGCCGCCCACAGCCCACCACCTGTTTTGTAAATAAAATTGTATTGGAACACAGCCATGCTCATCCTATAGATGCCTTCTAACTCTATCACGTTAGAGTTGACTTGTTGCGACAAAGACCCCGAGGCCTGCAACAGCCTGAAATGTAGACCACCTGGCTCTTTGCAGGAAAAGCTTGCTGGCTCCTGCCCTAGAGAGTACCCTGCTCTCCGCGTTTACCGGGGTGCGGGGGAGGTCCCTCCACAATGCCAGCACAGGCAGCCTGCAGCTCCTGCTGTGTCCTCTGCCCGTTTGGTGTATCTGTGTGTCTCTCTGCTGAAGGTCAGAAACTAGATTCATCTTTATATTTTTATAAGGCCTGGCACATTTTTTACCTTAAATGAGTCCATATTATGAAAATATTTCTGTTCTGCTTGAGTAAGGAAGTCTCAGCTGATGTCCCACCCTCCAACAGTCATGCGTGGCCACAGAGTTGGGGATCCTCCCGCTGAGTGCTGCACAGAGACCCCCATAGCTGCCTCTTTTGCAACTCCTCACTGTCTGGTGGCAGGGGCACCCTGTCTCTGAAAGCTCTTGGCCACACGGGACGGCTGGAGGTTGCCCCTCCACAGCACCCCTCCCTGACCCTGCTCAAGACTGCCCTGGAAAGGCCTCTTCAGAGCCAGGTAGCACCCCCCAGGAACAGGAGACAGTAAATACCCACCAGTCAGGATAAGCCAGGGTAGGGGTGGGCAGTCTGGATTAGGATTTGCATTTTTAAAGAAATTTCATTTTGTTCCTTTCACACAAAAGCACCTGGCCTTATGCTTATGAAACATTGCTGAGAAAGCACCATGCTGAGCATGAAATGAAAAGCATAAATTCATTTGTAATTTGCAGCCAGCATCAATGGCACAAAACAGGCAGCCTGGTCCAGTGTGTTTAATTGGCCCCCTGTCAGATGTGTATATCATGAAGTAGCTTTTAACACTCTCTTTGTATGTAACATAAGGGCAAATAACAGCAGAGCGTAGCTTCCTGATAAACCAAAGGATCACAATTCCAGGCTAGCAGAATTTAATTAGGGAGGATATGAATGCAGCAATAGACCCAATAATTCATCTACTATGAGAAGGTGATGTGTGTCAAAGCTGGCCTCCGGAAGATACGAGTGTGTGTGTGCGCACGCACACGAATGATATGTCTGTGTTCGTGTGTGTGTGTGTGTGCACATGTGCCTGCGCCTGTGTGTGTGTATGCGTGTGGGGGGGGGTGGGGGGGGAGTGAGAGAGTCCAGCATTTTTCGACAAGGGAAGGAACTAACTGAGGTTGCCTGTGAACATCTGTCATCTTTACTCTTCACACTAGAGAAATGGGCATTTGACTTAAGACTGGCTGTTCCTCTTGAGCTGGGTGTGAAAGGGACAGAGCCTTCCTTTTCTTAGCAAAAGGTAGTAGGTTCACATTAAAATCATTTCCCAGAGAGCTAATGGTCCTCTCAGGTTAACGACTCAAGGCAAATTAACTCGTCTGGTCACTACTCCGTAGGGGACACAGGGTAGGGGATGTCTCATCTCTAGAGCTTAATTAAAGAACTGCAGGTGTCCTGGTCAGCTGGTGGTCACGTAGGCTTGACTAATGGTAATATTTTGTTCATTAAACTTCTGGAAGGAGACATAAGCACGATCCCTCACAATCCCTCAATCCCAAAATAAGCAGACCAGCGTTTACCATGTTCTCCACAAGTCTGATTCTTGGGGAGCTGCCAACTCTGGGCAAAAGCTCAACTTTGCTGGCTGGAGGTGCACAGCATGGCTTAGTAACAGAGCAGACGTCTGCCTGTCTGCCCTGCAGGACTCTTGGGGGTCTCTGCCCACTGCGCTCTCAGTGTCACAGGAGCGGGCAGTGCAGTGAGATGGGCCTCCCCATTCCACTCTTTTGGGAAAAGGCTTACCCCAGGCCTTGGGTAAGAAGCACGAACAATAAGATCTGCATTCGCTCTGTTTCTGTTCCTCTTCCTCTTTCCACCCCTCAGATTTGCAGGTCTCCAGGATGATTCTCAGACTGAGCTCCTAGGAAGCAGTTTAGACACAGGTTCCATCCGGACTCAGGATGGCTGAGCTGGGCCTGCGATCTGCGCTTTCATAGGGCGATGCTCAAGCGGGTGATCCACAGATCACACTGTGATGGCACTGCCTGATGCACAGACAGTCCTAAGAGCCCTCTGGGGTCTCCCCACGCGCCCATGTGCCGCCTGTCCTAGGGCACAACGGCCACCTGGCTGCCGGGCCTGGTAAAGCCTCCTCCGAGCTCCCGCACCATGTTCATGCTTCTCCTCATCACATTTCCCATCCGATATGCCTACTGCCTGACAGATCCCGTGACATTGCTTTAGAAACATTTTCTTTTAATTTTCACAACATATCCCACAAGATAGTTTTATCCTGATTTTCCCAAAGGGGGAACTATGACTCCAAGGTAAAGCAGCATGCCCAAGTTCAAACAGCTGCCAAGTGCAAGAGCTGAGTCTCAAGCTGTGACCCCCAAGATCCCTGCCCTCCACAGGGCAAAGTGGGAGCCTTCTGCATGTCTCTCCAGGCTCTGGGTCTGGCGGGACTTGTGCCTCCAGACTCAGCTCCCGCTGGGTGCACCAGCCTCCTGCACTTCCCCACTCTTATGAGCCATATTATGTCCCCCAGTAATTTATAGGCTGGAGTCCTAACCCCACATACCTCATAATTGGACTGTACTTGGAGACAGAGTCTTTAAGGAAATTCAGTTAAAATGAGGTAATGAGGGTGGGCCCTAGACTAATATGACCAGTGTCCTTATAAGAAGAGGAGATGAGGACACGGACATGCACAGAGGGAAGACCATGTGAGGACTCAGCAAGATGGCAGAGTGCTGTCTCCCTACAAGCCAAGGAGAGAGGCCTCAGGAGGAACCAAGCCTGCCAACACCTTGATTTTGGACTTCCAACCTCTAGAACTGTAAGATGGTACATCTCTATGGTTTACCACCCCCCAGTCTGCAGTGCTTTGTTACACAGCCAGAGCAGACTGAGACACTCCTCCTCACATGTGCTGCACCTTTGCCCACACCTGCCATCCCCATGCCTCAGTGCTCTTTCCACTCTCTTTGCTTGGTTAGCCTCTGCCAGTCTTTTGAGATTCATGAGGCATCTATTCTCCTCCAATCCTCTGGTTTGGGATTCCTTCTCTGAACACCTGTATGTAGCCCCCTGTGCATGGCGGTATCTTAGCAGACAGCAAATCATGATTGGTTGTGTGTCTGTCTCCCCAACTGGACCCCATGCTCTAGGAGAGCAGGGACTCTGTCATATACCACTGTGTGCCCAGCAGCTGGTGCAGGCCCTGGCGCATGATGCCAGACTGACATCAGTGGCACTATATGCTGAGTGCTGGGTCCTCACCGGAGCATATGCTGGAACCCAAGTTTCTCTGGGCTCATGAAGAGAAGTCCATCACATCTCTTGGCAGGATCCATAGGTGGCCACATTTCCTCCTTTCTTCCTCTTCATTTGGCCTGAGTCAGCTTGTCCTCCTGCCCCTCCGTGGAGCATGAGGAGCCTGTAGCCACCAGGGGAGCCTGCCCCACCCTGACCCGTCACAATTGCCAAGCCTCTCTTTGCCTTGAGTCCCTTGATGCCTTTTTGCCCCCTGGCACCTCCTCAGTGCTCCTGGATCTTGGAGGCCGGTGGGACCTTACAGAGGCTGGGCTTACTTGTCCTAAGGAATCTGGAGTGGCAGGTGTACTAACGCAAGGAACCAGGCCTCCACCCCACCACTGCCTCCCACCAGTTCAACCCTGCTTCCCTGCTTCTGCAGCAGCCCAATTCTCTGCTTTATGAATGGAGCAGATCCCTCCAAGGTGAAACCATGGCTAAAACAGATCATTAAAACAGAAGATGTTTGGATTGAAAGTATATTACATTATATGCATTTTTTTTTGCAGCAGCAGCAGCAGCATTTTGCTGCTAATTTTTTGCATATGCTAATTTTACAATGAATTTCATTCATTCCCAGAGTCCACATCAGCTTGTGTGTGCTTGTGGGCATATGGGGGTCTGGTTCACCCTTGATTCAAGTGTGGACATCTACCAGCCTGTGAGGGTAGCTTCCCTGAGCTGGCACTCCCTCGCCTCTAAAATGGGGATAATGTCTACACTGCAGGGCTGTTTTGAGGAGTGGAGATTTTGTGATAGTTGTTCAAGTGATAGCTCTCACTGACAGCTGCTGATTATTAACAGCAGTACTCTTTCTTTTCAACTTAATTTTCAAAGCTTGTGTCAAATATCTACTTCTTTAGTATTCTCTTTACTGTCTATCACATAATTAAGTTATTGTTTCTGTTTTCATTAACTAAATAAGAAAGGGAGAAAAGTGTCATGTTTGGGAATAAAACAAAAATAGCTTTGGGAAATCAGAAAGGAGGTAAATAAGTGGGAGAGAAAGCATACCACTGATGGCTATGTCTCTCTGTGCATCTGACAATGCAGGAGCACCTTTGTTATCCCATTATCCCTACTGGGTCCCAGCACTAGCTGCCTCCCCGCAGCACTGTACCTGTTAAAGGCAAGCTGGCACCATGCTCGGCCTTGTGCTTCCCTCTTGCCTGGAATACACGTGCCATTATTGTTTGTTGTTCTGCCTTGAACTCACTGCTGCAATCCACCCTGTGCACAGTTATGAATTTAACAATCAAAAGGAGAGCATGTGAGGAGCTGTCTTCTGCTGGGGGGACACATCTGAATAAAGAGACATATAAAAGTCATTGCCTTGCCCTAAAGGAGCTGACGGTCAGGTTGATAATTCAGGTCTTAGACTTTTTTTTTATTTTTTACTTTTGTAATTTAAGAATATTCAGTATGAGCAGTGCCAGCGGAATGGTTTGGAGACTTTCAGTGCTTCCTGAGTTCAGAGGAAGGAAACACAGCCTGGGGTTGGAGGTGGGCCCCAGAAGGCAGGAAATCCATCAGGAGACAGGCAGGATGATGTACACTCCAGGGGCAGATGGGTCATCCTGGGGGGTGTCACCTGGCTGCCTTCTCCAGGTGCTCGCCTGTTCCTCCCTGCCTAGCCCCCCCAGAGAAGAGCTGGTTTGCCCCCATCCAGGAGTGAGGACCTGGCCCCTACCATGGAGGCTGCTCTGTCTGTGCTCCCTCCCCCGGCAGAGCAAGCAAAGCCCCTTTCCCAGGGACGGAGCAGCTTCGGGGTGCACTCAGATCCCACCCGATCCTGACCCCATGGCAGATGGGACTTCACCATCCCAGGGCAGAGAGGGCCTCATCACTCACAGGACCTCACCCCAAAGCCCCGTCCACCAAGACGCAGATTTATTCAGATGGTTTAGGCAGGCAAGGTGGCTTGTGCGGGAGTTCTTCCTCAGGCCCTCTTTAATAACAACAGCAATAATAAAGTCAATCCTGCATGATTATTATGGAATGCTGGTGCAATTGAGCAGATAAAGTACTTCCAAATTAATGTGCTCCTCATATAACACACAGTATACAGTATGATGTACAATGCAATGTACAACATGTAATATGAACCACACCATACAATATAGCTCAGTACAGTCAGGCATGGCTTAACAATGAGGACATGCTCTGAGAAATGTGTCATTAGGCAATTTTGTGGTGGTGCAAACATCGCAGAGTATACTTACGCAAACCCAGATGGTGTAGCCTTCTGCACACCTAGGCTGCGTGGTATAGCCGATTGCTCCAAGGCCCCAAACCTGTGCAGCATGTTACTGACCTGAATACTGCAGGCGGTTGTAACACAAGGGTAAGTATTTGTGTTTCTAAACATATCTCAACACAGAAAAGGGACAGTAAAAATACAATACAAAAGATAAAAAATGGTCACCTGTAGAGAGCACTTACTGTGAATGGAGCTTGCAGGACTGGAAGTTGCTCTGGGTGAGTCAGTGAGTGAGCGGTGAGTGCATGTGAGGGCCTAGGACACTACTATACCCTACGGCAGACTTTAAAAACTCTAGACACTAGGGCTACTATAAATGTACTTTAAAATGTTTTTCTTTCTTGAATAATAAATTAATCTTAGCTTACTATAACTTACACACTTTATAAACTTTTTCTTTTTTAAGACAGAATCTCACTCTGTTGCCCAGGCTGGAGTGCAGTGGCCTGATCTCAGCTCACTACAACCTCCACCTCCCAGGTTCAAGCGATTCTCGTGCCTCAGCTTCCTGAGCAGCTGGGATTACAGGCGCCTGCCACCACGCCCGGCTAATTTTTGTATTTTTAGTAGAGACGGGGTTTCAGCATGTTGGTCAGGCTGGTCGGGAACTCCCAACCTCAGGTAATCTGCCCACCTCGGCCTTCCAAAGTGCTGGGATTACAGGCATGAGCCACCATGCTGAGCCTTTATAAAATTTTTAATTAAAATTTGTTTTTCTCTTTTTTAATAGCACTTAGCTTAAAACACTAACACATTGTACAGTGGTACAAAAATATCTTCTTTCTTTATATTCCTATTTGATAAACTTTTTTATTTACATTTTTTTAAAGAGATGGGGTCTGGTTCTGTCGCCCAGGCTGGAGTGCAGGGGCACGATGACAGCTCATTGCAGCCTCGAACTCCTGCGCTCAAGTGATCCTCCCACGTCAACCTCCCGAGTAGCTGGGACTACAGTTGCATGCCACCACACCTAGCTGTTTTTTTTTTTTGTAGAGATGAGGTCTTCCTATATTGCCCAGGCTAGTCTCAAACTCCTGGCCTCAAGCTATCCTCCTGCCTTGGCCTCCCAAAGTGCTGGGATTATGGGTGTGAGAACTGTGCCCAGTCAAAAATTTTAATTTTTTATTTTTCTTTCTTTTTAAACTTTTTTGTTAAAAACTAAAACATAAACACACACATTAGCCTAGGCCTACACAGGGTCAGAATCATCAATATCACTGTCTTTCATCACCACATCTCATGCCACTGGGAAGTCTTCAGGGTAATAACACGCATGGAACTGTCATATCACATGATGAAGATGCCTTCTTCTGGATGTCTCCTGAAGCACCTGCCAGAAGCTGTTTTATGCTTAATATTTTTTTGTAAGAAAAAGGAGTACACTTTAAAATAATCATAAAAAAATGAGATAGTGTCTTCATTAATTTGTGTTGCTATAAGGTAATACCTGAGGCTGGGTAATTTGCTTTTTTAAAGAGGTTTATTTGGCTGTCTGTTCTGCAGGCTGCATAAGAAGTGCAGTGCTGGCATCGGCTGAGCTTCTGGCTGTTTCCAATCATGGTGGAAGGTGAAGGGGCACCAGCACGGGCAGACTACCTGGTGAGAGAGGAAGCAAGAGAGAGACGGGGAAGGTACCAGACTCTTTCTAACAACCAGCCCTCAACAGAAGGAATAGAATGAGAAACACTCATTACTGCAAGGAGGGCACCAAGCCATTCGTGAGGGATCCTCCCCCATGACCCAGACACCTCCTATTGGGCCTCAACATTGGGGATCAAATTTCAACATGAGGTTTGGGGAGACAAACATCCAAATTATAGCATATAGTAAATACACAAGGGAGGAATGTCGCCATTTATTATCATTATCAAGTATTATGTACTGTACACACTTGCATGTGCTGTGCTTTTATGTAACTGGCAGCACAGTAGGTTTGTTTACACCAACATCGCCCAAACATGGGAGTCATGCATTGAACTACAATGTTATGACCACTGTGACGTCACTAGGCAAGAGGAATCTTTCAGCTTCATTATAATCTTATGAGACCACTGTCATACATGTGGCCTGTCATTGACAAAACATCTTTATGCAGTGCATGACTGTATAGCTCAATATCAGCTAGAGGGCTGATATGTGATGTCTATTATGCATAATTTAATGATACTTATGTGAACAGTTCATTCTATCTAAACACAGCCAAAATAACACACATTCCACAGGAGACTGGAATCCCGTGCTGAGGCCTTGGGGACCCGAGAAGCACTGGGCTTTCTAAGAATTAAGTAGTAAAGATCCGAAGGAACCTCTGGGCCAAGTCTTCCCTCCACGCATAACTGGGTGCCTTTCCCCAGACCTCCAGCTGGCTTGCGGCACCCAGCTCTACCTCCTCTGTCAGATGGCCTGGGTCGCCCTTCATCACTTGCTCCAGCTGAGCCAGGTGGCCCCTCCCAGCCTCCCTGCTCCAGTTCCCAGCTCAGGAGAAACCTCTACTGCAGAACCTAGAGCTGTAAATATCTGTGCACATGGTTCTCATCCTGATGAAACTGTTGGCTTGAGCAGCATTCTTCAGAATGCTGAAGGGCCCATAGTGTGTGGTGATCAGCATGAAAGAAGAGAACATATCAAGATGCGTCACGCATGGTATGGACCAGCTTGTTTTGTAGAACTTTTGTTTCTTCTGTCTGTGCAAATGTGTGTTTCTGTGTGTCTGTATATGTCTCTGTGTGAATGGGTGTGTGCAAATGTGTGTTTGTGTGTGGGTCTGTGTGAGTGTGTGTGTGAATGTGTGTGTCTGTGTATTATGTGTCTCTGTGAATGCGTGTGTGTCTGTGTGGATGTGTGTGTGTCTGCATGTGTCTCTGTGTGTGAATAGTTGTATGTGCGCTGGATCACCACGTAAAAGCTATGTCTTACGGTATATTGTGGATTATGATTTTAAAAGTTGAAAGCCCTGATCTAGAGGGCTGGCATTTTCCCTCAGTGCCTACAATGTGTCTGGCTTCAGCAGATGCTTGTTGGATAAGTATGTGAGTTAACGTATCAATGAAAGAGTTAAATTGATAGCTAGGGAGAGTAGTGCTGATTCCTCTCAACTTCTTCTGCTCCAACAACTTCCAGTCCCTTCCCCCACTGGGCTGCAACCCATCTTCCCATACACTAACTGTCCCTTCCTCCACTTCCCCTGCAGGAGGGGGCCCCAGCCCCGACTGGCCTCATCAGCGCACTGACCTGGTGCTGCACGAGGGAGGATGCAAAAGCAGAACCCTCCCATTTGGGTATCTACAAAGCTGAAGACCCAAACTCCACTGCGTGCTGCGGTGGGTGGTGTGGCACAGAGTGGTGCCTGGCACCTGGTCCCTCCACTAAGCATCGGCACCCCTCACTTCTGCCCCAGCCCTCTACCTACCCATCCCCGACTCAACTCCTGCACAAGGAGCAGAACAGCATCCTGGAATCCACGCTGTGCAGCCCCCTGGCAGACACACACCTGCGCCCTTTTTTCCTTCCTTTGCCAGGTGTCTGACCCCACTGGGCTCAGGAAAGGCGGAAGCTCTGCTAGGGGTGAGTCCAGAGGCTGACAAGCTGGTGCTTCATAGCAGTGAGTTTGGAAGGTGGCCACTACAGTCACCATCTGGAAATGCAAAGTGTCCCCGAGATGGTCACTTCTCAGCTAGCTCTGGGTGGAACCCAGAGGCTGTGTGGTGTTGTACCGCACCTGAAGGTCGCCACAAGCTTCCCTCCAGAGAAAATGCCTTGATGGGTCTCACTTGTTACTCTGCTTTCCCTCCAGGGAACCTTTGGGAACTGAGCCGGAGTCAAACATTTGGCTGAGATTAGGCATTGGGCCAGACTCACTCCTGACACGCTGCGTCAGCAAATCAGGGCAGAGCAAAAGCGGCCGAGGCACAAGTGAGGCCAAACAACCTGGAAGACACTGAGCAGAGAGAAGGCGGGCTGCTGGCTGGGACATGCTTTTCCAGGGTCCCTGGAAGAGCTTTCCTTACTCGGGGAAAGAGTGGAGGACATGGAGATTTGACAGCTAGCTGCTTAGCAAGGGATGGAAGCAAGCTTTGGGAACACAGATTGTCTGGGGACAGGAAGCAGAGAGCAGGGCTGGCCAGTGAGCTTCCCTGGGGCCATCCACATTCCTGTTAGTTCTGAGGGTAGCACAGCTACCTCCCATTTGTCTTGTTGCCTGCTGCACGTAGCATATAGGCTATGTGCAGACTAGGGCACACTTGGGCATTCAGTGGCTTGTAGTGCATGATTGTTGATTGAATGAAGGACCTTGTAAGTGTCTTTAGGAAGAACTTCTAAGCGCTCTCTTGATGCCAGAAAGCAGAATTCCAGAATTGTTTCCAAGTAAAGCAATTAACATGTAAATTTAAAACAAACAAACAAAAAACCTAAATGTCACAAGAGGCTCTAATGGTCTTACTAATTGGGCACAAAATGAGGGTAGGATTTCATTCCTAAATCGCCAGTGTTTATACTTCACTCCTGGCACATAAGTGCACAATGAATGTTTAATGAACGAAGATGCTTTGATTTCCAGGGCTAAAGAAAACCTTCTTCCTACTACCTTCATCTCCCACCCTGACCCACCCCACCAACACACACGCACCCTACACCATACCCATACACCACACTGCACACCATAACACACACACTCCCCACGGCATAACACACATCCCACACCCCACCCCAAAAAACACACACCATCACACACACAAACAAAATACACACCCCACACCACAGTACATATCCCACACCATAACACGCACATTATAAGACACACACTCCACATTCTAATACACACTTCACATCTTAACACACACCTCATGCCCAACACATTACATACACCCCCCCCATACCACAACACATACACACACGCATACCCCCACCACAGCACACACACACCTTCCCATAACACATAGGCACATACCTCTCACCATAACACACACATTCCACATAATACACATATACATCCATACCCTAACATACACACACACACACAACACACCATAGCACACACACACAAACATACCTTCCCCACATACAAAGCTTTCAAGGCCTGAAAATCTCTAGAGATATTTTCTTTTAAATTGAGGCCTTGACCCTTATATAAAACCTCTGTACGTTTGCAGATAAAGTCTCCTTATCCGTTACAGTCAAGAATGAATGTTCGCCACACTCTTCCTTGCGGGCTCCTTTAGATGAAGGCCAGGAAGAGAGCAGATGTGGGTGTGGAGTGGGTGAAGAACCAGGCAGGAGCAGGTGGGGCCAGCACTCCCTCCCCGTTTCCTCTCCCTTCTCCTCTCCTCCCCCAGCCCTGCGGACCAGAAATCCAGGGGACAGTGGAATGATCTTAAGGAGTAAGGAGGCGATCCTGTCATCACAGCCCTAAAAGGAATCAGCTTAAAAAGAAAAAGGTGTAATTTACACGGAAAATCCACAGCCTTTCAGAAAAGGACAGAAACGAAGAAAACAAAACAGATTTAGATCACAAGCTTGGGCGTGGGTTTTCCAGTGGCAATTCAATTAGAAACAAAAAGCACCTAAGCCAGTAGGTAGGTGTTAGAGCTGCCTGTCGGAAACAGGGAACACCATTTCTTGGTGCCAGGTATCACAGAGGAATAAGCAGCGGGGCTCAGAAGTGGGATTCAGATTCTTCTGTGTGAAATGTGACCTATGCTTCTGATTAGCATTTAAATATAAAAATAAAAATACCTGGGTTTGAAGAATCACAGACATGGATGGCGACCCTGAGACCAAGGGGTGAGATGACTCTTCTGAGACTATACATATACTGCACGCCGTCACACACACACACTACATCATAATACACACACATGGGCTTCCACCCTAGCCTCAATTTGCAGGCCACATGCATGTCTGTCTTCTTCATCCTAACCATCTCAGGATGTCAGGGGCAGTCACAGGACTGGTCTGTGTTTGGGAAGATGGTGCCAGTAACTGTGTGGCAGGTTTAGAGAAATCACTTATTGATGGTCTTCAATGACAGTACGTCTGAGCAGTGTTTTATTAATAGAGCTTGGACTGTGGTATGAACAACTCTCCATCGGGGCCATGTCTTCAGGACCACACCACAAGACACCACAGGGACAACCAGATGCTGCCCAGCTGGGAGAGGAGAGTCTGTGGGAATAGACAGGAGTCCCCCAGGAGCTTCAGAGAAACTCTCCACAAGCCCAGCACTGCATGCCACCTGCAGAGAACCAAACTGCTACCGGAAAGCCAGGTCTCGAGCTCTGAATAAATTCCATGAGGGCATCTTTCAGAGTGTCACTTCAACCTGGGCAGGTTACTCATCTCTGAACTCCACGTTTTGGGTGCTGTCTATGTCTTTAACACGGGAGCAACTTAGGGCTCTCAGCCCTAAAGAATCCTGGACAAGTCTCTGTCATGGCACCCAGAACCAGGCAAAGCAACGAAAAGGCATTTGGAACGAATGAGTGAATGAGTGAATGAATGAATGAATGAGATAATAATGTATTTATTGGGAGGCCGAGGCGGGCAGATCACGAGGTAAAGAGATCGGACCATCCTGCCCAACATGGTGAAAACCCGTCTCTACTAAAAATACAAAAATTAGCTGGGCATGGTGCGGGCGCCTGTAGTTCCAGCTACTTGGGAGGCTGAGGCAGGAGAATCACTTGAACCTGGGAGGCAGAGGTTACAGTGAGCCGAGATCACGCCACTGCACTCTAGCCTGGCGACAGAGTGAGACTCTGTCTCACAAAAATATATATATATATATTTAATCTCATCAGATGAACATATATTCATCTCTCAAAGCATCTCCTGCCTGCCCAGTAAATGACCGGCATGATGGTCTGCAGCTCTCCTTTCCCCACATGGGTGACAGGGAACTAATGAAACCCAGAAATGGAACTAGGCCATGAGCAGTACAGGAGGCTTTTGGACATGAAAATCAGGTTTGGTGTGTGCTGTGTGCAGTGGGCCAAAGAGAGGGAAGGGGAGGCGGCAGGGACAAGGAGGTGGGGAGGGGCAGGTGGGAGGCAGGGCCCTCAGTGCTCCCTGTGCAGATGAATGCAGGCCTCCAAGAGCACAGCGGGGCACACTGTCTCCATCCCTGGCCCTCCGCTGTCTCCAGCATTTGGTTCCCCCTGGCTGGAATGGGGCATAAGGAAGGGAGCATAGGCAGGAAGCCCAGAGCTCTGAAAAAGGACAGAGGCTTCCGAGCCTAGGCAGGGCTTGGAGCCATGTACATGTCGGACTACTATAGAACTAGCGCCCTGGGGCCTCAGGAACATGGGGGCTCAGATGACAGTGGTTCAGCCCCTTCCAGTCCTGTGCTCTTGGACTGGGCTGGAAGCTGAGGCCAGGGAAGGCAGGGAGCAGAGCCCAGGCCCAAGGGAGGGCAGGAAGTCAGGAGAGCTAACTCCCTGGCCAAGGTATGGTGTGCCATAGCTTTTGTTAGGCAGAAGAGGCCTGGGCTTGCCTTTCTGTGTCTTCTAAAGCATCTCGTCATGGACGCCTTTCATTCCCCACTGGGCTCTTTCCCTGGTGTCTCTTTCCTTCTTGTCGATTCTCTCTGCTCAGTGACGGCCATGTGTCAGCTGGCCAAGACCACTGGGGTTTATGGGGCAGCCTCTCTTCTTTTCTTTTTTTTTTCTTCCTTTCTTTTCTTTTCTTTTCATTCTTCAGGAGGGTCTGCACTATCTCATTCTTTTCATTCTTCAGGAGGGTCTGCACTATCTCATTTAACTCTAACAGCACAACATGAGTTGCCCCATCGTACAGATGGGAACACTAACATTCTAAGAAGTGACAGCCCAAAGTCACGCAGGAGCAGAGAGAGCAAACTGAACCCCAAAGTCAATGCCTTCCAGAGTGGGCTGCTTCCCCTCTTGGGCCACACCTTTTCCCACGCTCCTGCTCCCTGAAGAGCCTTTCCCTCCTCTCATCTCTGGCTGTCGTGGGTGTGAGGCTCCCTGGGCTTGTCTTCAGCACCGAGAGTGAAACCAGGTGTTTTCAATAAGAGATTATTAGGTGAGACTCAGTTGAGGTGCAGCCAGAGAGCCCCTCGGGAGAAAGCTGGAAGAGTGGTTTCCACGGTGACTTCAGAGCCAGCAAGCCTCTGGCGGACATGCTGAGCTTCTGTGATGCCGAGCCTGGGGTGGCAGGTGTTCCCATGTCCACCCCAACCCTGTCTCTCCTGCCATCCTGTCAGGTGAGCAAGAGGGGCTGTAGGGGGAACCCCCCAGGCATCTCTCTTATCACTCAGGCTTCTTCGGGCTGAGCCGATACCAGGGGCTGCTCAAGCATCCACACCTGCCCTGCGCCTCACCAGCACTCACCCCACCCTGAGGCTCCTCATAGGAAACAGAAGGGGGAGATCAACATCAGACACAAATGCTGCATCAGCCCAGAGAATGATGAGCTTAGTGTCAAGCTGAGCTCGACTTCTGGGGAGAAAGGGAAAAAGAAAACCCAAAAAACCTCTGACAAAACTGAGGCACAGAGGTCACTTGGAGACCTAATGTTACTTCATTAATATTTCCCTAATGGAAATATTAGTACTGATGAAAATCCCCCAGGGAGAGGGGTGGGGAAATGGGTGCTTTAGTTGGATTCTCCTGGTGTCCACACCCAGGTGGGTGTGAGAGAGCTGCACTGGGAGTTGCTCAGAGGGAGGACAGGATGAAGGCTGATAGGCAGTGGGGTGGGGAGCTGGGAACACAGGTCCCAGGAATAATGTTGAGAATCAGGGCTCATGATCAGCTCCACTAGTTTCTTCCATTGGTCTCATAACAATTTCTCCTGAGCAAATAAATTCAGTTCAATACAGAGCAGACTGAGACAGAGTAAACGCCCCAGAAGCTTCATTTATAGGAACAGGGAGACAGAGATTCAAGGTCATACCCTTGGACCTTAGACAAAAGCCAGAACTGCAATGAGACCTCTAGGCAGGAAGAAATGAAGGGAAACCAGAGTGAAGTCTCTAGAGCAGGTGGGGAATAGTCCCTGAGAGGCCGTTCCATCGTGCACACATGCCACAGGAATGGGACTTACGTCACATGTCATCAAGCACACATGTCATGGGTTTCGGGTCTTAAAGACCCTCACCTTGGATCTAATTCTGTCAAATTCCACAGGTGGAATTTGGTGAAAACTTGCCATTGTTGCCCATGACTTGATAACCAGTAACTTTAGGGCCTGAACCAATATGGCCCGGAGGTGTGCACCTCACCCCTATGTTGGATGCACACAGAAGGAGCGCATGAAACTATGAGCCCTCGATGTGCGGATGCAGGCGTGTGGGCTGCACAGTGCCTGGCTGTGTGCTCACCAGGCATTTGTTGAATGAATGGATGAATAAGTTTTTAAATCAAGCCTGTTACATAATAAGCAGAAAGCAAGAATTTTAAACTGGTCACTGGATACTTTCTGAGAGTTTAACAATATTAAAATTATAGTTAACATTCATTGAGTATTCAATATTACAAAGGTATTATTTAGTTGAATATTCAAAATATTCCAAATAATCGTATCCCTCATTTTAACTAAAAGATTACTGAGGCTTAAATAGGCCCCATAACTTGTCCAAGGGCACACAGGTAGATAAGAGGCAGGGTAAGTACGTGAATGCCTGTTCGCCTGACTGCAGAGTCAGACACCATATTGATGACCTCTCTATAGAACCTGGTATGAAAACTGCCACAAGCGTGTGGCATAATGGCTAGGTGCATAAAATAAGATTCTCAGAGAGCGAAAAGCAAGACAGGAAGGAGGCCAGGCCATCAGTTCTGCTCTTGGGTCAGGAGTTTAGAAATTCTCTGACCCTTACGGTACTTGTGAAATGAGCTAATGGCCCAGTTAGAGGATCCCCAGGGTTTAACATCACAAAAAAGTCTCAGTTCAAGCTGCCCATTCCCTGTGGACCTTCTCCAAGAAGCTAAGGGCTGACTTTCACCAAATGGCCCAATTGCCTTCCACTGGAGCTTGAGAGGAAGTGCTCTGAAGAAGTGAGGTCAGAGTTGGGGTGGAGGGGGTGATGGAGGTGCCTTACTAGTGGTTCTTTTGTTTTGTTTTGTTTTGGTTTGGTTTATTATTATACTTTAAGTACTAGTGGTTCTTAAGTGGTGCTCCCATAGTCCCCGGGCCTCACCCAAGGAGGTCCCTGGGCTAGAATGGAATAATAGAGGGATTTTACTCGAAATCAAGCTAAAATTGAATTAACACATAAAACAGGGGCCAGGCGCGGTGGCTCACGCCTGTAATCCCAGCACTTTGGGAAGCTGAGGCAGGTGGATCACCTGAGGTCAGGAGTTCGAGACCAGCCTCAACATGGGGAAACCCCGTCTCTACTAAAAATACAAAATTAGCCGGGCGTAGTGGTGCATGCCGGTAATCTCAGCTACTCGGGAGGCTGAGGCAGGAGAATTGCTTGAACCTGGGAGGTGGGGGTTGCGGTGAGCCGAGATCAAGCCATTGCACTCCAGCCTGGGCAACAAGAGTGAAACTCCGTCTCAAAACACACACACACACACACACACACACACACACACACACAAAACATTCTCTATGTTTAAATTCCTCCTATAAAACGCTTTTGAAACTTTTTTTTCTTTTTTGAGACAGAGTTTCGCTCTTGTTGCCCAGGCTGGAATGCAGTGGCATAATCTCAGCTCACCACAACCTCTGCCTCCCTGGTTCAAGCGATTCTCCTACCTCAGCCTCCTGAGTAACTAGGATTACAGGCATGGGCCACCACACCTGGCTAATTTTGTATTTTTAGTAGAAATGGGGTTTCTCTATGTTGGTCAGGCTGGTGTCGAACTCCCGAGCTCAGGTGATCCACCCGCCTCAGTCTCCCAAAGTGCTGGGATTACAGGTGTGAACCACGGTGCCTGGCTGTTTTTGAAACTTTTGTGCTTCTACTAATTGTTTGCTAAGAAGAGGTAGCAGAAAACAAAATAAATGAAATAGGAGTAAATTAATATAAAATTATATGCAGCTAATTATGTTGAGTTCAATAGTTTATTTTTAATGGGCTCATCTACTCTCAATTTGATAGAGATACTTAGAATACAGAAATGGTCCCTGCTGGCTGTTTCATTCCTAGTTCATATACTAAAATTGGGACTCAGAATGACGGAACTGCTGCTGGGCTTTGGAGCCAACAGTTCCCCATCAGAGACCAGCATCCCCACGGACCACCAACTCCCTGGCTCCACGCAGGCCACCTGTCCTCTGGAAACTTTTTGCTCCTTCCTGGAAAATGGGAACTTATGGCATCCACCTTGCCAAGTTGCTGTAAAGGTTCCAGATAATGAAGAAGGCACCTGGGGTGTAAGCAAGTGTCCCGAGGTAGCTTTCATTACTGCTGTCTTCGGGAATCATCCAAAGAGAAAATGGTTCTGCAATTTTAAGTTGTTTCCTGTGTGAACAAGTTTGGGAACTACTGCCTCAAATTTTGTTCCCTCTTTATTTAGGCAGACTTTTATGACAATTTAGAGGCAAGATCTTTTCTTCTGGCTATGGGCAAAGGGGGACCAAGTGACATGATGGGAAGTGAGAGCCACGCCTCTACTGACTTCTGTTCATCATCTCCTCCACCAGCAGCAGCAGCAGCAGCCCCCTCCTCACCATCTCTGGCAGCATCACATGAGGTGCGGGAGGTGAGGTAGGCTGCGGTCACAGACACAATCAAACCCTCTCTCTGTGGCTTATCGGATTAAAAGTCGATTTTTCACTCATGCCATGTGACCAATGTGGTTGGTGTGCTTTCTGTTTTGTGTCGATATTCATGGAGCCAGGGTGAAGAAGGCTCCATCTTGACCTGTATTTCCAAGATTCCCAACAGGAAATAAAGAGAGAACCCGGGCTGGGGGTTGGGGGCAGCAAACCGTGCACAGGCTTATAAACCCTCTGCCTTGAAGGAATACGCATTCCTGCTACCCCTATTCCATTGGCCGAAGTTGGTACCACAGCCCTGCTTCACTTCAGAAAGGAAGGGGAGTGTAGCCGCCCTGAGCTTCGACAGCAGAGAGCGAGACACGCTTGACAGACAACTCTAACCACCACCAGAGTCGCCACCATCCAGAGTACTTACTTCACCAGCTGAGCATCTGTCATTGCTAGTGATAAGCCTGCAAACGGGGTTCAGGGATGACTTCTGTGAGGAGCAGCCAGCTGGTTGGTGGGGCATGAAAAGGCAACTCACAGATGAATCAGTGAAGAGCTCAAGGTTGATGTTTTACCATTCAAAGGCAACAGGAAGGCACTCCAGGGACCCTAGGAGTGTCACAGGGTATGGAAGTCACAACTTCACGGACAAAGGGACCTGAATCGGTTGTAAGAGAAAGGCAGGGCTAAAGCAACTAAGAGATGGGGAGGGGTATTAGAGGCAGAAGAGCAGAGGGGAAAAGGCTCAGAGACAGAAGAGCCTTCAGTGCATTCTGAGAACTGCACGTAAACCCATGGAGCTAGAAGGAGGGCTGCTTTAGGGAGGAGGTAGAAAGTGAGGGCAGTGGCATGGCAGCATTGGGGTAGAGGGGAAGCATCTTTTTTTTTTTGAGACAGAGTCTCTCTCTGTCACCCAGGCTGGAATGCAGTGGCGCAATCTCGGCTCATTGCAACCTCCACCCACAGGTTCAAGCAATTCTCCTGCCTTGGCCTCCTGAGTAGCTGAGACTACAGGCACACACACCATGATGCCTGGCTAAATTTTTTTCTTTTTTCTTTTTTTTTTTTTTTTTGTATTTTTAGTAGAGATGGGGGTTTCACCATATTGGTAAGGCTGGTCTTGAACTCCTGACCTTGTGATCCGCCCACCTTGGCCTCCCAAAGTGCCGGGATTACAGGCATGAGCCGCCGTGCCCAGCCAGGAAGCATCTTTTTGAAGTGCTCGAGTTCAAGGCTTGGAAAAGAAGGCTTTACCCTGTAGGCTGCTCAAAATTATTGTAGGCTTTTTTTCTTTTTTATAATTTAGACAGGGTCTTGCTCTGTCACCCAGGCTTGAGTAAAGTGATGCAATCATAGCTCACTACAGCCTCAAACTTCAGGGCTCCAGTGATCCTCCCTCCTCAGCCACTCTCATAGTCAGACCTACAGGCACATGCCACTTTGCCTGGCTAGTTGTTTTATTTTGTATAGAGACGGGGTCTGTCTTGCCATGTTGCCCAGGCTGGTCTCAAACTCCTGGCCTCAAGCAATCCTCCTGCATCGGCCTCCCAAAGCACTGAGATTACAGGGGTGAGCCGCCATGTCCAGCCTCCATGGCAGGCTTTTAAGTAGGAGGGTGACATGTGCAAGGCAGTGCTACTTGGTGGTGTATGGTTGGGGAGGATGGGCACAGGCTGGCAGCAAGGAGGTCGGCGATATCACGCATCCACAGTGTTTGGACTATGTAGGTGTGAAGGGAAGAGGCCTGGAAGGAGGGAGTCTGGGGATGGAAAGCAAAGTGGGGAGGGGCTGACCATTGCTTGGACCAAAGTTTTCAGTGAAAATAATGAGAAGAGCCGGACAAAACAGAAAAAGACAAGAACAAAAACACGTCTGAAGGCAGAGAATAATGGCCAAGGCAGTGAGAATGTGAAAGGCCACAAAGAGAAAGTCCGAGAGAGGCGGACCCAGCACTTAGACCAACACTTCCCTGCAGGGCAGCAGCCAGTTCCGGAACAAAAGAGAGGCTATTGAGCTGAGAAACTCAGCAGAGCTTTTGGCACTCTCCTGGGACAGAGGCACAAAAACCTATGCTCGGAACATGTCAAGGAGGAAGGTGCCTGCTGAACGCTCCCAGCTTTCAGCTGGGGCCCGAGATCACAGCGTGGGAATAAGACAGAACTGGACACTGACCCTCACAGGCACGGGCAGCCAGCTTTGAATTAGTGCCGTCCCCAGGAGACGGAAGTGATCTTCTTGGTCTAACTGCAAAAAAGAAAAATTACGGTAACTCTCATTTAAAGATAGAAAAACTCTACACAAATGTTTAGCAAATGCGACCCGGCACTAGATAGAAAAGGCAATGTATCAAGATCAAGTTGCAAGGTTAGTTTCACATCTGAAAATCAATAAAAGTAATTTGATGTGGGGCCGGGCGCGGTGGCTCACGTCTGTAATCCCAGCGCTTTGGGAGGCCGAGGCGGGCGGATCACGAGGTCAGGAGATCGAGACCATCCTGGCTAACACGGTGAAGCCCTGTCTCTACTAAAAATACAAAAAATTAGCCGGGCGTGGTGGCGGGCGCCTGTAGTCCCAGCTACTAAGGAGGCTGAGGCAGGAGAATGGCGTGAACCAGGGAGGCGGAGCTTGTAGTGAGCCGAGATTGCGCCGCTGCACTCCAGCCTGGGCGACAGAGCAAGACTCCGTCTCAAAAAAAAAAAAAAAAAAGTAATTTGATGTGGGAAAAAAATCATACAATCATCTCAATAGAAGCAGAAAAAAGCATTTTATACAATTCAATGTTTGTTCTTAATTTTTAAAAAGGAACTCTTAAGCCTGTAATATAATAGAACTTTATCTAATTAAAAATATAGTTAACATAATATTAAATAGTAAAATTAAGTTTTCTCCTCTGAGGTTGAGAATGAGACAAGTCTGTTTACTATGTGTATTTTATTAAACATGGTACTAAAGGTCTCAGACAGTAAAATAAAGCATATAAAGAAATGCAGAAACAAAATGTATAAGAGTTAGCATGGAAATAATAAAACTGTCATTATTCCCAAATGACATATTATATGTAGAAATCCAAATGAATCTACACATAAACTATTAAAATTAATTAATTGATGTACCAAGTTCTCTGGATGCAAAGTTAATATGCAAAAGTCAATTATATTTCTACATAGTATCAGTAGACAATTGTTAAAGTTTAAAAAAATTCATTTAGATCAAATAGCTAGGAATAAATTCAACACAAGATTTGCAAACCTACACAGAAAACTATAAAACATTCCTAAAAGAAATTTAAAAATTAAATAAATAATATACCATATTCATGGATTCAAAAAAACTAAATATTTGGAGGTATTGATTGTTTCCTAAAGGGTCTATATTGATTTAATGAAATTCTGATCAATATCCCAGCAGAATTTGTGGTGGAAACCGACAAGCTGATGCTATAATTTATATATAGCCACATGTAAAAGGCTAAAAATCGCTAAGACAAACTTAAAGAAGAAGAAAATAGTTGTGGGACATGCACTACTAGACATAAAGACTCATAAATCGATAGTAGTTAAGACAGTGCAGGACTGCAGCAAGAATATATGGGTAGACCCATGGTACAGAATAGAGTCCAGCAATAGGCCCACATTATATGGATATGTGATTTATGACAAAGGTAGCACATAAAATAATGGAGAAAGGATTTTTTTAAAAAACAAATGATGCTGGGTTGATTAGATATCCAAAAAACGAATAATCTTGACGTTTATCATATACCAAAAGCAATTTCAGGTGGACCACAGATCAAAATGTGAAAGATAAAATAATAAGGCTCATAGAGCATAACATTGGAGACTGTCTTTGTGACTTTGAGGTAGAGAACACAAAAAGCAGTAGCCATAAAGGGAAAGATTGATAAACTGGACTATATTAAAATTTATAACTTCTGTTCATCAAAGTATACCATTAAAAGAATGAAAAGAAGATATCTGCAACATGTAACAAAAAGGTTCATAAGAAGAATAAATAAAAGACTCCTACTGATCAATATGAAAAGGACAGACAACCCAGTAGAAAAATTGGCCAAAGACCTGAATAGGCACTTAACACATGAGAACCTCTAAATAGCTAATAAACATATGAAAAGGTGCTAAACCTTATCAAACATCCCGGAGATTTAAATTAAAACCATAATGAGATACCCCCTCACAACCACCAGAAGAGTGAAAATGAAAAGGACTGACAATACCCAGAGTCCATAAGATGTGGAGCAACAGAAACTCTTGGCTCTGCTGGTGGGAGTATCAGCTGACTCAGCCACCCTGGATAACCATTGGAAACTGAATACGCAGACCCCGTGGGCCAGCAGTTTCATTCTTAGGTGTATCCTCCCCCTCCCCAAATGCATAAACAAAAAAGCTTTCTATTGGCAGTATTTATAACAGCCAAAATCCAGAGACAACCCAAATGTCCCTTGATAGTAGAACAGAGAAATAAATGGTAGTCTATTTATGCAATGGAATCCTATACAATAATGAAAATGGTGCTTCATGGAAGATCAGAAACGAATCACACAGACATCAGGTTGGGCAAGATAGGCCAGAAACTAAAGAGCATGCACATACTGTGTGATTTCATTTACATAAAGGTTAAAAACAGGCACAAGCAATCCAAGGTCTTAGAAGTGAAGCTGGGGGTGCTTTGGGAGGGAGGCACACTCACCTGGTAGGGTGTGAGGAGGGCTCTGGCATGCTGGTAACGCTCTTTGTACTCATCTGGGTGGAATGGCACGGGAGCGTTCACTCTGTAAAATGCTCTGAGTTGTACCCTTACAGATAGTGCATTTTGTGATGTGTTTGTTATATGTCAACAAAAGTTTTTTTGTTTGCTTGTTTGTTTTTTAAATAGAAATAAAGAAGAGGTGAACGTTGGGCTTGGTAGATGGCTCCAGCTCCTGGGCGTGCTTGTGACTGTATTTATGTGGATGGCAGTTCATTTAGCTCAGAAACATCTTCAGCTCTCAATGGAGCCAGGTTTGGCATGGGCAGCAATTTAATAGCTCAATCACAATTGCAATTTCATAGCACCTATGAAGCAGATTCTCTTGCAGAGAAAATAGGGGCCAGCACAGATGGGTGGTTCTCTTTACCAAATTCTTCCAAAATGCACACACTTCGCCCTGGGGCTCCTGTCTCCATGGGTCTTGAAACATCTCTGAAAACCAGCCTGCCCTTCTCTAATGCTTTTTCCCTTGTCCTGCAGACTTGAGAAGGGCTCTGTCTGCTAGATCTTTTGCAAGCCTCTCAGAAGTCAAGACACTCCTGAGCAGTTGCCATTTTTTAAGGCTCCTGGAAATACATACACTCAAGCCTGGAGTATTTCCAGGAATGGAGATATATGTGTGAGTGTGGGTGTGTGTGTATAAAATATATATACACGTGTATATATATATATATGAATATATATATATACACGTGTATATATATAGGTATATATATACACATACACACACATACTTATACAATACAGTGGATTCCTGAACAATGCAGGGATTGGGGCACTGACCCTCCATCCAGTCACAAATCTGCTTATAACTTTTGACTCTTTAAAACTTTAATTACTAATAACCTCTTGTTGACTGGAAGCCTTACTGATAACATAAACAGTTGGTTAACACATATTTTGTACATTATATGTAATAAAACTGTATTCTTATAACAAAGTAAGCTAAAGAAAAGAAAATGTTATTAAGAAAATCATAAGGAAAAGAAAATGTATTTCCTATTCATGAAGTGGAAGTGGATCATCATCAAGGTCTGCATCCTCATTTTCTTCACATTGAGCAGGCTGAGGAGGAGGAGGATGGGTTGGTCTTGCTGTCTCAGGGGTGGCAGAGGCAGAAGAAAATCTGTATATAAGACACACACACAGTCCTCCAAGACAAGGTAATAACAATTATGGTATATTTTAATTTTTCACATTTAACAAATTCATAGTTTTAGCATCGCTGTCTCCCTGTTCACCACGCACACATAAAACACAATGACCGTGTGGATGATCTTATTTAAAGATACAACTAAATCCCTAAATTTGATGCCTTTCTGAAGGTGGGGCAAAGACCAATAACGCATCTTTCCACCACTCACTACTACCCCGTTGCCAATGACAGCCATACGGAAAATGTTTTAATGTACTGCTCACAGCAACCACCTGAGCCCAGCATTCGGGTTCCCATTTCCATGGTGAATAACCAGGACTGTTAAGTGACTTCCTGGGGGTTCGCAGTGGCCTGCCGCAGACCCAGGCCTGGCCGTCTGTCCTCTCCCCTGTGCCTTGTCTTGGAGGCTCACTGTCTCTGGTATGGATCAAGCTGCTCACTCCAGCCCAAGACCCTTCCAGGAATGAGATTTATTTACACACAGCAGCAGTGTTTACAGACAGCAGGATGTGGCCTCTCTGAGTTGTCCTGTGGAAGCAGAATGCTGTCCTGCAGTGTGTAACAAGGGGAGGGGACATTTGGTCACTCCTCACTAAGGGACACCTCTTTTCCTTTCTCTCTAGCCCCTCCAGGATCCAAACACACTGAGCAAGCAAGGGCAGCTGCTTTGGGTTTTGTTCATCTGTTTTTCTTGTATTTTAATCAGTACACTGTAGGGTCGGAAGGGTCCCACCCACGACTGGGAGCTTGAAGATCTTTCCAGGGGCCGCTGGGTGGTTTGCTTCAGCTCATGTGACTCCTCCTATCACATCTGAAAAACTCTGAACTGAGTAAACTCACATTCCATTTAGGTGAGATAGCAAGTTCCAAATGATGAAAACAGTTTGCAAAGAAATGTGCTAGAATATTTTGAAAACAGCTTGTACTTGAAGGAATGCAGGGAGAGTGAGATTAGAGAGAGGGATTGCTTCAATCACTATCAGAAATTCCTGAGCACAATCTTTGGTATATGGGCACTTTTTTTCCTTATAAAAAGAAATGTGACTAAAGAGTGGAGAAAATGCCCCCTCCATTTGTCTTCTTGTGATCCTGCCCACCTCCAAGGTCCAGCTCAGCTATGACCTCCACTTTGGCCTGGATCCCACTCCAGCCTCAAACCTCACTCCTTCCTCTGAACCACTGACTGGCTGTGATATTTCCTTTGATACTTAATCTCATAAGGTTTTATATTGCATCGCTTATCTTCCAATAAGCAGATTGTGAGCTATTACAGTGCTGACAAAGATCAAATTAAGGCTGAGTCCAGTGGCCTACGCCTGTAATCCCAATGCTTTGGGAGGCCAAGGTAGGAGGATCACCTGAGCCTAGCAGTTCAAGACAAGCCTGGTAACAGAGTGAGACCTCATCTCTACTAAAAATAAAGAAAATTAGCTGGGCATGATGGTGTGTGCCTGTAGTTTCAGAGACGCCAGAAGCTGAGACAGGAGGATTGCTTGGGCCCAGGAGTTCGAGATTGCAGTGAACTATGTTTGCTACCACACTCCAGCCTGGGCAACAGAGCGAGATCTTGTCTCTTAAAAAAAATCACGAATACTATGTAGCCATAAAAAAGGATGAGTTCATGTCCTTTGCAGGGACATGGATGAAGCTGGAAACCATCATTCTCAGCAAACTAACACAGGAACAGAAAACCAAACACCGCATGTTCTCACTCATAAGTAGGAGTTGAACAATGAGAACACATGGACACAGGGAAGGGAATATCACACATCGGGGCCTGTCAGGGGGTGAGGGGCTAGGGGAGGGATAGCATTAGGAGAAATACCTAATGTAGATGGCGGGTTGATGGGTGCAGCAAACCACCATGGCACGTGTATACCTATGTAACAAACCTGCACGTTCTGCACATGTATCCCAGAACTTGAAGTATAATTTAAAAAAAAAAAAAGAAAAAAAATCAAACTGATGTTTGATGCCATAAATATTTGGTCAATATATATTAATTTTATATGTATAATTGTGTGCATTTCAAAGAAGAAATTTTAAAAATCCTAATTAAAATGGCTTTGGCTTCGAGGAACAGAAATCCCTGACTCCAACGTCCTTGTCAGTTAGAGATGTATAATCACATATGACAAGATGTTCCAAGGTGGTGCAGCTCCAAGTTTGGCTCACCTGATAACTCAACAACGTCTTTGGGGACCAGAGATCTACTCTTTCTGCTCTGCTGACTTCCACAGGTTGGATTGGTCTTCAGGACAGTTGCCCTCACGGTGGTAAGTTGGCTGTGCAATTCCAGATATCTCATCTAAAACAAAAAAATCCAGAAGAAAAAGGACTGCCTCTTTCTTGTGTATTTTTTAATTGTGCAAAACTCTTTCTCAGAAGCCCTCCAGTAAACTGAGAGGGGAGGAGATGGGAGGCAGGAGGATCACTTGAGGCCAGGAGTTCAAGACCAGCTTAGTCAACATAGCAAGACCCTATCTCTTAGAAAATAAAGGTAGGGGGTGGTAGGGGGAAATGACAAATATTGGCAAAGATGTAGAGAAATTAGAATCTTTTTTTATTGCTGGTGGGTATGTAAAATGGTCCAACCACTGTGGAAAACAATTTATCAATTTCTTAAAAGATTAAACAGAATTACCATATGACCCCAAAATTCCACTCCTAGGAATATGTGCAAATAAATTAAAATTAGAGACTGGGACAGATACTTGTACACCAGCAACAGTATTCACAAAAGCCGTAAAGCCACTGATGGATGAATGGATAAATAAAATGTGGTATGTCTGTCCAATGGAATACTATTCAGTCACAAAGAGGAATTAAACTTTGATATATGCTAAAACATTGATTAACATTAAGGAATAATGCTAAGTGAAATATGCCAGTCACAGAAAGACAAATACTGTATGATTCCACTTACATGAGGTACCTAGAGTAGGTAATTTCATAGAGACAGGAAGAAGAGGGGTTATCACAAGCTAGGAGGAAAGAGTTGGGAGCTATTATTTAATGGGTACAACATTTTTGTTGGGTAGAATGAAAAGGTTTTGGAATATAGATGGTGCTGATGGCTGCACAACAATATGAATGTGTGTAATGCCACTGAAGTGCACACTCACGAATGGTTAAAATGATAAACATTATGTTAGGAATATATTACCACAGTAAAAAATATAATGTCTGCCACATGAGTCTGCTTCTTTTCTTAGCTTCAAAGGTTATGGTGTTCTGAGTTTATTCTCTACTTAACCCGTTTTGCTTTGTTTTGTTTTGTCCTGTTGATTTGATTTTGTTGCAGCCATCACGATTTACACGTGACATTACAGGACAGACTTGTGGATGTGTCTGTTACACCTTCAGTAAGGGTCCTTCCATTTGGCAGAGGATTGCACAGATCCCAGAGGGGAACCATACTGACATAAAGGAGGAGCTTTCATCAGCTTAGCGTCAAAATGAGGAACATGCTGATTTTTTGTTACGCTTAAGGAAAACAAAAACAAAAAAATCCCCAAAAACCCGACAGTTGTCTGGTGTCGACTTCTTTTGCCTTTACTTTTGTATGTGTGTGCTTCATAAAAAAAAGCATAATTCTAGGTTTCTATTCTGTATAGAGATCTATACAACTATAAAACCCAGAAAATACATATATATATATAACTACCAAAAAAACTATAAAAACGGAAACTGACAACACTAATGTGGTAGATGTTTTGCAGACACTAAATAGATATTTTCAGTGTGCCTATAGCCTTGAATTTGCAGTTCTTTTCAGTTTGTAACTCCCATCCCACCATACACTCTGGGATGATGTCCTGCTCCCACCACTTTTTCTATATGCAGGGCTGCCAGCTTCCCATTTGCTGAGCATGTGGGGTGTCACCTGGCTATCAGCTGGCCTTCCTATGCCTCTGTCTGTTGACTTGTTATGAGCTGTGATCAGTAACTCTCGCCACATGAGGCCAGGCCTAGAAACACAAAACTCCAATGGAGAACCTGAAAATGCTGCTAAGAATGTCACCAGGATAATCCAGAATGGCTTACAGATAGAGTTTTAAAATTAAAACACAAACTTAAACATTCTCGTTGAGAACAGTCAGGCTCCCTAAGAATATCTCTGTGAACCTCCAGTGGGTCCCAAATCCCTGGTGTCCCAGAAAGCACACAGGCCTCACATTCAGAACAGGTTGACTTCACTCCCCTCCACCCTCATCTGCACCCTAAGAGGGAACTAAAAGAGAATTTTTTGCTGGGCCTGCTTCCTTCCTCCTGCACGCATGGCCCGTTGGGCTCTGCTTTAGGGCTGCCTTCTGGGAGGGGCCCTCTCCCCTCTGGTCAGAGGCCGAGGGGCAGCTCTGGGCTGGTCCTGCCATCCTCAGTTTCCCATCTCCATCCCTAAACTTCAACGTTGGACTCATTTCCTTACCCTGCCTTCTTCTTAGTCTCTTTCCTATCTCTAAGTCCCCAGCACTTTTAATAATCCCCAAAAGGAAGGACTTGTGGATTTAAAGGAATGACTTATGGATTTAGTGGAAAGCTAAAATTCTCAGAAGAAAAATAGAAGCAAGTTTGCATACACTAAAATATCAACATTTGGGGATTAGGATGTTGGGGCAAGAGAATAACCCCAATATATGGCACTGTGGCATACTGGCCACTTCAGATTAAATATATAAACCAAAACTAAAATTCTAAGCCCCCACAACCAATTGTACAGACCCCCTCTGGGCCATGAGAAACCTGAAAAACTGAATTCCTGGCCATGATGGGAAGGAAGTTTGAACAGGCCTCCTGTTACTCCCTGCCTTTTTGAATTTAGGTACAAGTGACCAGCACTAACATTAAAATAGAGATCCTAAGACTAGCAGAACGGACTCTTCAGCAATAAGATACCAAATTCCAACCTGACTCTGGTATAGCATCACATGACAGATAGCAGATCCTGAAAGAAATAAAAATATTTTACCCTAAAGTAGATTTCTTTGACATATTTTGAAATGGTTCTGCAAAGTTTTCTTTTTTTTTTAATTTTATTATTATTATACTTTAAGTTTTAGGGTACATGTGCATAATGTGCAGGTTAGTTACATATGTATACATGTGCCATGATGGTATGCTGCACCCATTAACTCATCATTTAGCATTAGGTATATCTCCTAAAGCTATCCCTCCCCCCTCCCCCCACCCCACAACAGTCCCCAGAGTGTGATGTTCCCCTTCCTGTGTCCATGTGTTCTCATTGTTCAATTCCCACCTATGAGTGAGAATATGCGGTGTTTGGTTTTTTGTTCTTGCGATAGTTTACTGAGAATGATGATTTCCAATTTCATCCATGTCCCTACAAAGGACATGAACTCATCATTTTTTATGGCTGAAAAGTTTTCTTTTGTGGGGAAAATTTTGTGCTTGTAGAGAATCACATTTAGTGCAGCCAGAACTTTCCCGGATGTAGGAGAATTTAACTAAGAGTCTGACACCTTTTAAGGTCTCAAAAAAGGTATTTACTATCTATTCTCTCTGAAGCCTGCTACGTGGAGGCTTTCTCTATATAACAAGAACCTTGGCTTCCACAAACCCCTTTATCCTAACTTAAGTATTTCTTTCTACTGACTTGAAGTCTTTAGCTGAACTCTTTCAATGACTTGCCAATCAGAAAATCTTTGAATCCACCTGTGAGTGGATTCCACTCACAGGAACATCTTTCCACTCATAGTATTCCCTTATGAATGCACCTATAATCTGCCACTTTGAGACGTCCTGCTTTTCCAGGCCAAACAAATATATACCTTACATGTATCGATTTATGTCTGTCTGTAACTTCTGTCTCCCTAAAATGCATAAAACCAAACTGTAACCTGCCCACCTTGGGGACACTTTCTCAGGACTTTGTGAGACTGTTCTCTGGGCCGTGGTCACTCATATTGTCTCAGAATAAGCCTCTTTAAATATTTTACAGGGTTTGCTTTTTGTTCTTGTTGTTGCTGACAAAAGAAATTGGAAGGCCTTAGAAGCTGCCTCAGAACCAAAACCTTTCTAATCTTTTGTTCCTCTCTCACCCCACACCCTCTTCCCCCAAGTGCAAGAAGGGACTCTGGAATTTTCTTATCTGAGAAGAAGATAAGTGATTAAAAGCCACAAATGCACCCAGATAGATTTTATTTGTTCTTCTGAGGACAGCTCCGATAGATTGCCTGGGAGGCTTTCTACATAATAAGACCACCTCTGTTCACAGTGCAGTTCTGCCCCTCACTTTCCTGTAACTTGCAGGTCCCATTCAGTTTCCTAAGAATATTTACAAGATAATATCTGCCTCCCAAGTCCTCTCAATTCCCCTAAAAATTATTTGCAATCCCGTAAATTGCTTTCATTTTCCCCATCTCCCTCTCTTCTATGAAGAGAGTATATAAGCCTCAACCATCTGGCCCTTCTTTGAGTCTTGTACTTGTGTGACTCTCGTGTCCATGTGCACATTAATACATTTGTGCATCTTATTTTCTGTTAATATATTTCTTATAAATTCATTTCAACAGATTTAGACTTGAACTTTCAGAGGGAAAGTCTCGACTTCCCTGTAGGAGGGTTTCTGTCCACGTGTGTCTTCTGAGCTTAAGCAGCACATGAATTCAGTAACTAGCATCTACCAAAGACTTTATTCTCCAAACAAAATGAAATAGATTTCTAGTTCGAAAGAAAGCAGCAGGTATACATGGAAGGAGAGAGGAACAGGAAAAGGGAGACTCATTATACTCAAAGAAGTTTACTCCTGTCTTTTATGGGAGGCCGTGAGGCAGCAGGAACCTGACCTCCCTTGCTGACTGTCAGTGATATCACTAGACAAGTTCCAGTAAACACAACTGACCATGCGGCATTCTTCATTACTGACAATTTGCAATTATACTTTGTACATCCCAGCAAGGGGTTTGGCCTTGTCCTTTTCCTAGTCTTGGTTAGGCATTCCTCCTTGTGGGATAATATGACATTCTGGGCAGTACATTTCTCGGGGATTATTGTATTTTTCAGGTCTTTGGCCTAATGCTTGAGAACATCAACTTAAGTCATGAATAATGGACCTGAAATGTATTCTCCGTGGGCACCCACTGCTTAGGAGCTTCAGAACTTGCCCCGGTCCTCGAATGCAGTATTTCTCAGTTCCCACCATCCAGTTGGACCTAAATAAAACCATCCCTTAACCTAGGAAGCACATGTACATTTTGTTTTGTAGGTGGGAGAAGAGCACACTACTGGAAAAATCTGAAATCATTTAGGCTGTCAGGACAAGGAACTAAGGAAACAGAACTCCAAACTTAATGAGCATTTTCTTGGCCACCACAGCAAAGAGCTAGCCGAGGATCGGGTAACTGTCACCTGTGCAGCGCTTAAGCAGATCTTCAGTTTCCAGAATGGGAAAGTCCCCAGAGAGTCCTGAGGCTGCCAACACCACTGCGAAGATTGGTTCCAACTGGGGCTTAGAGGATCAAACAAAAGCTTCTTTCCTCCCAGTGGCACTGATGCGTCGTGCCTTCTCTGAAATTCTCCTGTCAGCTTCCAGAGAGACTCCAAGTCATGGTGCAAGGGTGAGGATAGAAAACTAGTACAGGCCCCAGCTGGTAGCACCAAGGGAAGAGGTTGAACACTACTGTCTAGAGCATGGACTCAGCCCTGGCCATCGCATTCAAATTCTGTGATCTTTGAAAGTTACTTACACTTTTTGCACTTTAGTTGTCTCATTTGTAAAGTGGGGAAGACAATGCCTTTTTAAAAATTATGTTATCATGAAGAATAAATAACCTTATACATACGAAGTAGTCAGCAAACCCTGGCCCATAGCGTAACCGCCCAGTGGGTTCACTTTGCCCACTGCTTAGATAGAGCCGATTTATCAAGACAGGGGAAATGCAATAGAGAAAGAGTAATTCATGCAGAACTGGCTGTGTGGAAGACCAGAGTTTTATTATTACTCAAATCAGTCTTCCCGAGCATTCCGGAATCAGAATTTTTAAGGACATCTTGGTGGATGTGGGGAGGCCAGTGAGCCAGGAGTGCTGATTGGTCAGGTCAGAGATGAAATCATCGGGAGTCAAAGCTGTCTTCTTGCCCTGAGTCAGTTCCTGGGTTGGAGCCACAAGATCAGATGAGCCAGTTTATCGATCTGGGTGGTGCCAGCTAATCCATCAAGTGAAGCATCTGCAAAATATCTCTGCAAAACAGCTCAAGCACTGATTTTAGGAATAGTTTAAGGAGGGTCAGAATCTTCCGGTGGCATGACTCCTAAACCATAATTTCTAATCTTGTGGCTAATTTGTTAGTCCTACAAAGGGAATCTAGTCCCCAGGCAAGAGGAAGGTTGATTTTTGTGAAAGAGCTATTATCGTCTTTGTTTTAAACACTAAACTATAAACTAAGTTTCTCCCAAAGTTAGTTCAGCCTGCATCCAGGAACGAGCAAGGATAGCTTGGAGGTTAGAAGCAAGACGGAGTTGGTTAGGTCAGATCTCTTTCATTGCCTCAGTTACAATTTTGCAATGGCAGTTTCAATAGTAAGTGTCAGGCCTCTGAGCCCAAGCTAAGCCATCATATCCCCTGTGACCTGCCACGCGTACATCCAGATGGCCTGAAGCAACTGAAGATCCACAAAATAAGTGAAAATAGCCTTAACTGATGACATTCCACCATTGTGATTTGTTTCTGCCCCACTCTAACTGATCAATGTACTTTGTGATTTTCTCCACCCTTAAAAAGATTGTTTGTAATCTCCCCCACCCTTAAGAAGATTCTTTGTAATGCTCCCCACCCTTGAGAATGTACTTTGTGAGATCCACCCCCTGCCCACAAAACATTGCTCCTAACTCCACCGCCTATCCCCAAACCTACAAGAACTAATGATAATCCCACCATGCTTGCTGAGTCTCTTTTTGGACTCAGCCCGCCTGCACACAGGTGAAATAAACAGCCTTGTGTCTCACACAAAGCCTATTTGGTGGTCTCTTCATATGGACACATGAGACAGTAAGTGGCTTAGTAAATAATAGCTATTAGTAATACTGCAGCATCAAAACAAGAAACTGTAAAACATGTTAGAGTCACAGAAGCATTGGATCTTAGACTGGAATAAATCTTAATGGTCATCTAGTTCATCTCAGTCCAAAACTCCCTGGCCCTTTAGAAGAGTGTTGCTGCCCTTGCCCACTCAGCACTGCTCAGGCCTTTTTCTTTCTAATCTGCCAACTCCTCCACATGCCTGGGATAAAACCACAGGCTTGGACCATCCTACTCAAGCTTGAGGAGATAACCCTTTTGCAAGCAGAGAGTGTGACTCACATGGCTTTATGTACCCTGGCTTCTCCAGAATTATTACATGTGCAGTCTTTATCACATTGCAGGAGTTCAGACTATGACTCCCCTAAAATGTGCTTCTTTCGCATAAGGATTATTTGAGCTGATTATTTTCAGAAACTTTAGACACAGGAGAAACTGTAAAAATAGTGCAGCAGTTACCCTTTGGTAGAGACCTTACATGTATAAAGAAGATCTCCATTTGTAAGGGTGTCTCCCTGTCTGTACAAGGAAGAAAAGAATGACTCTAAGTTACTGAGTCTTACCAATGGAGAAGGCACTGACTTAAATTTACATAACAAACCTTACCCTTGTTTACTGAGTTTTTCCTTGTAACTTCCCCATTATTGGCCCCCCAATGCCTTTCTGTCTTAGTCCATTTTCTATTGCTTATAACATAATGCCTGAAACTAGGTACTTTAAAGAGTTAATATTACTAAAATTTCAATACTACTCAATGTGATCAGACTCAATGCAATTCTGATCAAGATGTCAATGACCTTCTTCACAGAAATAGAAAAAATAATCCTGAAACTTGCATGGAACCACAAAAGACCCTGAATAGCAAAAAAATAAATAAAAAGTTCTAAGCAAAAAAAAAAAGCTGGAGGCATCACATTATCTAACTTCAAAATATACTATAAAGTTGTAGTAATCAAAACAGCATGGTATTGACATTAAAACAGACACATAGACCAATGGAATAGCATAAAGAACCCGAAAATAAATCTATGCATTTACAGCCAACATTTTTGACAAGGGTGCCAAGAGCATACATTGGGGAATGTATGCTATCTCTCACCATACACAGAAATAAAAACAAAATGGATTACAGACTTAAATCTAAGACCTGGAACTAAAAAACTGCTAGAAGAAAACATTGGAGAAACACTCCAGGACACTGGTATGGGCAAATAATTTTTGAGTAAGACCTCAAAAGCACAGGCAATGAAAACAAAAACAGACAGATGGATTTCATCAAGCTAAGAAGCTTCTGCACAGCAAAGAAAACAATCAAAAAAGTGAAGATGTTACCAACAGCAAATCCATACAGGTCTCCAGCAACCTCAGTTCTTACCTCCTCAGAAGAAAGAATTCAGTGGAGGGGTATAGGCAGAAGGAGAGACTAAAGCATGTTTTAGAGCAGGAGTGAAAGTTTATTGAGAAGTTTTAGGGCAGGAATGAAAAGAAGTACAGTATACTTGGAAGAGGGCCAAGCAGGTGACTTGAGAGATCAAGTGCACCGTTTGACTTTTTCACTTGGGGTTTTATACGTTGGCATGCTTCAGGGGTGTTGTGCTGCTTCTCCCCTGATTCTTCCCTTGGAGTGGGCTGTCTGTATGCACAGTGGCCTGCCAGCACCTGGGAGGGGCCACATACACAGTGTGTTTACTAGAGTTGTATACATGCTCACTTGAGGTGTTTTTCCCTTAACCAGTTGAATGTTCCTAGAGGAAGGTCATATACCCATTAAACTCTGCCATTTTGTCTCTTTGTGCACATGCTTGAGCCCACTCATCCAACTCCTGAGATCTTATTGTTACTGGGGGGTCCTTGCTCCCAGAGCTCCCAACATGGTGGCGGGCCACTTCCAAGATGGTGACAGGCCACTTCCAAGATGGTGGCAAGCCTCGTGTTCTCTGATCTGGGTTTCTTTGCCTCACGGATTCCAAGGAATGGAATATTGGGCCATGCAGTGAGTGTTATAGCTCTATTAGAAGCTGTGGGTCACAGAAGAGAACCGTGGAACCCAGTGACTAGTGTTCAGCTCGATTAGGATGAATCTGGGCACTTAGCCATGCAGGAACAATGGCAAGCCTTTAGCCCGATCGGGAGCAGCAATGGGCGCCTCACTGAATCAGGAGCACAGCAGACACCCTGCCAGATCCAGAGGGATGGAAGTTAGTGGCTGGTCTATGATGGCGGCAAACAGCAGTGGTGGATGGCGAGCAAAAGCTCAGCTCAAGCCGTAACAAACACGGACCAGAAGAGAGTGCAGTTGCAAGATTTAACAGAGTGAAAACAGAGCTCCCATACAAAGGGAGGGGACCCGAAGAGGTTAGCCATTGCTGGCTTGAATGCCTGGGTTTATATCCTGATCATTTATCTCCCTCTGTGCTCTCAGGCAATAGATGATTGGCTATTTCTTTATTTCCTGTTTTTGCCTAATTAGCATTTTAGTGAGCTCTTTTTACTATCTGACTGGTCAGGTGTGAGCTAAGTTGCAAGCCCGGTGTTTAAAGGTGGATGTGGTGACCTTCCCAGCTAGGCTTAGGAATTCTTAGTCGGCCTAGGAAATCCAGCTAGTCCTGTCTCTCATTATCAGGAAGCTGCTATCACTAATTTGAGGTTTTTTCTATCTATTGAGAGACTGCCTTTCCCTGGAGCTGGCTGTGACCAAGTATTTTAGACAGACAGTTAACAACCGCCTGACCATCACCTGTTGATCACCTGACATTCCTGGTTGCGGGGGGCCTTCTCCTGCCCTGCTCATGTATGACTAGCTACCTACTGTAACAAAGAGACAAACCACAGAATGGGAGAAAATATTTGCAAACTAGCCATGTGACCAGGGAGTAATAACAAGAATATATAAGGAACTCAAACAACTCAATAGCAAAATCAGTAAACAATCCAATTTCAAACCAGGTGAAAGATCTGAATAGACTTTTCTCAAAAGAGGCCATGCAAATGGCCAATAGGTATGTGTAAAATGCTCAACATCATTAATTTAACCACCAGAGAAATGAAAGCCAAAACCACAGTGAGATATCATCTCATCTCAGTTAAAATGGCTTTTATCAAAGATAGAAACAACAAATGCTGGTGATATTGTGGAGAAAGGGAACCCTTCGTACACTGGTGATAGGAATATAAATCAGCACAATCATTATGAAAAAGTATATGGAGGTGCCTCAAAAAACTAAAAATAGAACTACCATATGACCCAGCAATCCCACAGCTGGGTTATTTATCCAAATGAAAGGAAATCAATGTATCGAGGAGATATCTGCACCCTCATGTTTATTGCAGCACTATTCATGATAGCCAAAATATGGACTTAACCCAAGTGCGCATCAATGGATGAATGGTTAAAGAAAACTTGGTGTATATACACAATAGGATATTATTCAGTCCTAAAATAGAATAAAATCTCATCATTTACAGCGACAGAGACGAACTTATGTCAAGTAGAATAAGCCAAGCCCAGAAAGTCAAACACCACATGTTCTACTCATATGTGGGAGCTAACAAAGCGGATCTCATGAAGATAGAGAGTAGATTGGTGGATACCGGAGGCCAGAGTAGAGGGGAGAAGTGGATAGAGGATGATTGATAGAAAAAATACAGTTACAAGAAATAAGACCTAATGTTCAATAAATCAGTACAGTGACTATAGTAAACAACAATTCATTGTATATTTCAAAATAGCTAGTAGAGAATAATTCAAATGTTCCCAGAGTACAGAAAAGATAAATGTTTAAGGTAGTGGATGTTCCGATTACCCTAATCTGATTATTACACATTATACATATGTATCAAAAGATCACATGTAACCCCAAAATATATACATCTCTTATGTCTCAATTTTAAAAAAGAATGAAATTTATTTTTTACAGTCATGGAGACTGGAAAGCTCAAGGTCAGAGGGCTGCATCTGGTGAGGACCTTCTTTCTAGGAGAGGTCTCTGAGGCATCCCAAGGAGGCACAGAGCATCACATGGCAAGGGGGCTGAGCTTGCTCATGTGCTAGCTAGCCCAGGTCTCTCTTCCTCTTCTTGTAAAGCTACCAGTTCCCCTACCATAATAACCCATTAATCTATTAATACATGAATGGGCTAACCCATTCATTAGGGCGGAACTCTCATGATCCAATCACTTCTTAAAGGCCCCGCCTCTCATACTGCCACACTGAGGACAAAGGGTCAACATGAGTTTTGGAGTGTTTCATGCGTGTCCGTGTGAAGAGACCACCAAACAGGATTTGTGTGAGCAACATGGCTGTTTATTTCACCTGGGCGCAGGCGGGCTGAGTCCAAAAGGAGAGTCAGTGAAGGGAGATAGGAGTGGGGCCGTTTTATAGGATTTGGGAAGGTAATGGAAAATTACAGTCAAAGGGGGTTGTTCTCTGGTGGGCAGGGGTGGGGGTCACAATGTGCTCAGTGGGGGAGCTTCTGAGCCAGGAGAAGAAAATTCACAATGGTGGAATGTCATCAGTTAAGGTGGGGCAGGGCCTTTTCACTTCTTTTATGATTCTTCAGTTCAGGCCATCTGGGCATATACGTGCAAGTCACAGGGGATGCGATGGCTTGGCTTGGGCTCAGAGGCCTGACATTCCTGCCTTCTTATATTAATAAGAAAAATAAAACAAAATAGTGTTGAAGTGTTGGGGTGGCAAAAATTTTTGGGGGGTGGTATGGAGAGAGAATGGGCGATGTTTCTCAGGGCTGCTTCAAGTGGGATTAGGGGCGGCGTGGGAACTTAGAGTGGGAGAGATTAAGCTGAAGGGAGGTCTTGTGGTAAGGGGTGATATTGTGGGTTGTTAGAAGAAACATTTGTCGTATAGAATGATTGGTGATGGCCTGGATACGGTTTTGTATGAATTGAAAAACTAAATGGAATAAGAGAAGGAGAAAAGCAGGTATAAAAGGACTAAGAATTGGGAGGACCTAGGACATCTAATTAGAGAGTGCCTAAGGAGGTTCAGCATAGTCCTGCCAGCAAAGATTATTTATTTACTTCAAGAGTTAAGAGTGGCAGTTTGGGGATAGCACGGGGAGATATCATCTGTGATGGCTTGGAGAAACAGTGTAAACCGGCAGTGTAAACAAGAGCAGGGCATGTATGAGTAGTTGAGAATGGTGAATAGGAGTATGACTAGACAGAAGATAGTAGGGATGACAAGTTATTTGGGGGCACAGTCTAAGTTGGTCTGGTGTCTGGAATGAGATTGGGGCCTAATAAAAAGGAGCGTCTATACAGGAGTTTAAATGGGCTGTACCTTGTAGCATTTTGAGGACAGGTCTGACTTCTGAGAAGGGAAAGTGATAAAAGTATTGTCCAGTCCTTTTTAAGTTGGTGGCTGAGTTTGGTGAGGTGTGTTTTTAATAGACCATTAGTCTGTCACTGAATACTAAGAGCCTGAAAAAATGCTTGGCTGATTTGACTAATAAAGGCTGGTCTGTTATCAGACTACATAGAGGTGGGAAGGCTAAACTAAGGAATTGTGTCTGACAGAAGGGAAGAAATGACTGCGGTGGCCTTCTCAGACCCTGTAGGAAACGCCTCTACCTATCTAGTGAAGGTGTCTACTTAGACTAAGAGGTATTTTAGTTTTTGTGACTCAGGGCATGTTGAGTAAAGCTAATTTGCCAGTCCTGGGCGGGGGCAAATCCTTGAGCTTGATGTGTAGGGAAGGGAGGGGGCCTGAATAATCCTTGAGGAGTAGTAGAATAGCAGATAGAATAGCAGATGGAACACTGAGAAGTTATTTCCTTGAGGATAGATTTCTACGATGGAAAGGAAATGAAAGGTTCTAAGAGGCAGGCTAGTGGCTTGTACTATAGCATAGCCTGCCTTTGCTGGTGTGTGGTGATCAGGCCTGGTGGAACTGGCATCAATAAATCAAGCGTGATCAGGGTGAGAAACAGGGAAGAAGGAAATGTAGGGAAATAGGATGAACATCAGGTGGATCAGAGAGATGCAGTCATGAGGGTCAGGTGTGGTATCTGGAATAATGTGGGAGGCCGGATTGAAGTCTGGGGCAGGAACAGTGGTAACTGTGGGACTTAACAAAGAGTGAGTACAGCTGAAGGAGCTGGGGAGCAGAAATTATATGCGTCAGGTATGAGGAAGAAAATAGACTTTGGAAGTTATGAGAACTGTAGAGAGTGAGTTGAGCATAGTTTGTGATTTTGAGGGCCTCTAAAAGTATTAAAGCAGCGGCAGCCACTGCACGCAGACATGAGGGCGAGGCTAAAACAGTAAGGTCAAGTTGTTTCGACAGAAAGCCTACAGGGTGCGGTCCTGGCTCTTGTGTAAGAATTCTGACTGCACTAACCATGCCTAGGAAGGAAAGGAGTTGTTGTTTTGTAAAGGATTGAGGTTTGGAAGATTAATCGGACACGGTCAGCAGGGAGAGCACTTGTGTTTTTATGAGAATTATGCCGAGATAGGTAACAGATGAGGATGAAATTTGGGCTTGACTGAAGTAATGGGGGCTGTCTGTGAAGCCCTGTGGCAGTACAGCCCAGGTAATTTGCTGAGCCTAATGGGTGTCAGGGTCAGTCTAAGTGAAAGCAAAGAGAGGCTTGGATGAAGGGTGCAAAGGAATAGTAAAGAAAGCATGTGTGAGACCCAGAACAAAATAATGGGTAGTAGAGTGAGGTATTGAGGATAGGAGAGTATATGGGTTTGGCACCACGGGGTGGATAGGCAAAACAATTTGGTTGATAAGGCTAAGATTCTGAACTAACTCGTAAGCCTTGTCCAGTTTTAGGACAGGTAAAATAGGGGAATGGTAAGGAGAGTTCATAGGCTTTAAAAGGCCATGCTGTAGCAGGCGAGTGATAACAGGCTTTAATCATTTTAAAGAGTGCTGTGGGATGGGATCTTGGCATTGAGCGGGGTAAGGGGGATTAGGTTTTAATGAGATAGTAAGGGGTGCATGATCGGTCGCCAAGGAGGGAGGAGAGGTATCTTATACTTGTGGGTTAAGGTGGGGGGATTCAAGAGGAGAATACAAAGGAGGCTTTGGATTGGGAAAAAGGGTGGCAATGAGATGCAGCTGTAGTCCAGGAATAGTCAGGGAAGCAGATACTTTAGTTAAAGTGTCTCATCCTAATAAGGGAACTGGGCAGGTGGGGATAACTAAAAAGGAGTGCTTAAAAGAGTATTGTCTAAGTTGGCACCAGAGTTGGGGAGTTTTAAGAGGTTTAGAAGCCTGGCCGTCAATACCCACAACAGTTATGGAGGCAAGGGAAACAGGCCCTTGAAAAGAAGGTAATGTGGAGTGGGTAGCCTCCGTATTGATTAAGAAGGGGACGGACTTACCCTCCACTCTGAGAGTTACCCGAAGCTCGGCATCTGTAATTGTCTACAGGGCTTCCAAGGCGATCGGGCAGCGTCAGTCTTCAGCCGCTAAGCTGAGAAGATCTGGGAAGGAGTCAGAGAGCCTTGGGCCAGAGTTCCAGGGGCTTTGGAAGTGGCTACCAGGTGAGTTGAACAGTCTGATTTTCAGTGGGGTCCCGCACAGATGGGACACGCCTTAGGAGGAATCCCAGGCTGCGGGCATTCCTTGGCCCGGTGGCCAGATTTTTGGCACTTGTAGCAAGCTCCTGGGGGAGGAGATTCTGGAGGAACGCCTGACCGCTGCGGTTCAGGTGTTTGGAAGTTCTTGTGTGCTGGAGATGTGGCTGGGGTTTGTCTCACAGTGGAGGCAAGGAATTGCAAATTTTTTCTATTATTGTACACCTTGAAGGTGAGGTTAATTAAGTCCTGTTGTGGGGTTTGAGGGCCAGATTGTAATTTTTGGAGTTTTATTTAATGTCGGGAGTAGATTGGGTAACAAAATGTATATTGAGAATAAGACGGCCTTTTGACGTTTTAGGGTCTAGGGCTGTAAAGCATCTCAGGGTTGCTGCCAAATGAGCCATGAACTGGGCTGGATTTTTATATTTGATGAAAAGGAGCCTAAACGCTATCTGATTTGGGATAAAGGAATTGAAATTAAGAGAAGGGAGAGATTGAAGTGTGGCGCCAAGATTGAAAGGAGAAAGAGGTTGAGGGATAGTGAGGGAAGTTGGAGAAGAGAATAAAAAGAGGCCGCTTACCGGATTTGAAATTGGTGAGATGTTTCTTGGGCTGGTCGGTCTGAGGACCTGAGGTCATAAGTGGATCTTTCTCATGGAGCAAAGAACAAGAGGACAGGGGATTGATCTCCCAAGGGAGGTCCCCTGATCCGAGTCATAGCACCAAATTTCATGCATGTCCGTGTGAAGAGACCACCAAACAGGCTTTGTGGGAGCAACATGGCTGTTTATTTCACCTGGGTGCAGGCGGGCTGAGTCCAAAAAGAGAGTCAGCGAAGGGAGATAGGGGTGGGGCCGTTTTATAGGATTTGGGAAGGTAATGGAAAATTACAGTCAAAGGGGGTTGTTCTCTGGTGGGCAGGGGCGAGGGTCACAAGGTGCTCAGTGGGGGAGCTTCTGAGCCAGGAGAAGGAAATTCACAGGGTTAATCACTCAGTTAAGGTGGGGCAGGAACAAATCACAATGGTGGAATGTCATCAGTTAAGGAGGGGCAGGGCCTTTTCACTTCTTTTGGGATTCTTCAGTTACTTCAGGCCATCTTTGCGTATATGGGCAAGTCACAGGGGATGCGATGGCTTGGCTTGGGCTCAGAAGCCTGACAGAGTGGCCATTCAAACCATGGCACCTTCTTTCTTTGTTTCAGTTGAAAATCATATTTAAACCTGAACTCACAGCCACCTCTTTGTGATTTACTCTTTTTCTCTGGGTAGCTCCCATGCATACATGAGCTATATGTGTTAATAAAGTTGTATTTGTTTTTCCCTCGTTAGGCTATCTGTTGTTACAGGGGTCCATCCTAACTAAGAACTATAAAGAGTAGAGAGGAAATTATTTTTTCTTCCCTACATTCCATTACCACTTAAATTTCATTTTGTATTTTTCCAATTTGTTTCATGCATGTCTGATCTCGCCAGCTAAATGTTAAGCTCCTAGAAGGTGAGAACTGAGCTTATATCACATTTGGGTTTCCTCCGCTCTGATCTTGAGCTTATAGCAGGTATTTACTGAGACTTGCTATTTGCTTGAAAAAGTATTTTGCATTTCACTGGAGCTTAACAAATGATGAATAGAAATTATACATACATATATTTTTGTTATAGAAGATAATCTTCTCATGGTCCACAACATCCACTGCATTTAAAAATCTTTCTCCTATTGAGATAAAGACAAAGGGCTAGCAACAGTCTCCTCACTATTTGGGAACTGTAATTTTTGAAGTTATTGGTAATAATTTTGGAATTTCTGTCAAGGAGAGATTTAGGGTAATAACTTTGGTTGGGAAAGCGTATTCAGGAATTTATCTTGAATTTATTGTTTCATAGTGAGTCCACTGATTTTTTAAAACTGATATCTCATGTTTATTTGGGTTAGCTTTGGGAAGTATTGGAGATTATAGGGAAAGAGGTCTAAAGACTTCCACTAGCAAGGTAAAATGCAATGGCAGCACCACTAGAAGTAACCTTTTTAATTTCGAAACTTCTGGATCTAATTCCTTTTCCATTGTGTTAGTTATATATTGCTATAAGACAAATTATCCCAATACTTGGTGATATACACAACGACAGTTTATTATCTCACAATGTCTTTCGGTCAGGAGTTCAAAAATGACTTAGCTCAGGGTCTCTCATGAGGTTGTAGACAAGATGTAGGCCAGAGTTGGAGGATCCATTTCCAAGATGATGTGTCGCCACGAAGTTCCCTGGAGGCCTCGCTTCCTCACCTCTTGAGCTCTCCAGTTTGTTTGAGTGTCACCATGATATGTCAGAGGCTTTCTCCAGAGAGAGGGTGAGGAGGAATCCCAAAGCGTGTTTATCGGGTAGCCTCAGCCATCTAATGCCATGCTGCTATAGTTTGGATATTTGTTCCCCAAACCTCATGTTGAAATTTAATTCCCAATGTTGGAGGCGGGGCCTAATGGGAGGTGTTTGAGTCACAGGGGTGGATCTCCCATGAATAGATTAATGTCCTCCCTGGCTGGAGGGGAGGGAGAGGTGAATGAATTCTGGCTTTTGTTAGTCTCCCCTCTCCCCCAGAGCTGGTTGTTAAGAAGAGCCTGTCATCTCCCACCTTGCTCTCTTGCTTCTTGTCTTACCATATGATATTTGCATACAACAGCTCCCCTTTGCTTTCCACCATGAGTGGCAGCAGCCTGAGGCCTTCACCAGAAGCAGATGCTGGTGCCATGCTTCTTGTACAATCTGCAGAACTGTGAGCCAAATAAATCTCTTTGTTTATAAATTACCCAGTGTCAGGTATTCCTTTATAGCAACACAAAATGGACTAAGACACATAGCATTAGCCTTGTTCTATTCATTAGAAGCAAGTCACCAAGTTCAGCTTGTACTCAAGAGGAGAAAAATTAAGCTCTCCCTTGAAAGAAGGCATGCTGTCAAAGAATTTGGGACATATATTAAAACCACCAACCCACTGTTAGCAAAATCACCAAGCATTGGGGAGGGTTCCATGCCTCTGACTTACCCAGGGCCATTGTTTCTGAAGTTGTATTGGTCAAAATGGGCTGTTGGAACAAAAATGCCCCCAAAATCTCAGTGGCTTAACACTATAAAATGTTATATCTCATTCTTGCTCCAATATGGGTTGGGAGAAGGTCTCTGTTCATTATCACAACTCAGGGACTGAAGATGATGAAGGCTCCATCTCAACACACACATCCATGATTGCCAAGGCAGAAAAGGGATGCCGCGAATCTCATGCTGTTCATAAAGCTTCAGCCTAGAAGTGACACACATCACACAATGTATTGGCCAAAGCAAGTCGCACGGTCTGGCTTCAAAGGGGTGACTAGGGAGTGCAGTGGTAAGTGTCTGAAGTGAGGGGAACCAGAGTGCTTGCTAACATACAGTAACGTCTATTGTCACCTCTATTTGACCCTGCTTAGTCATATTGCACTTAGGGGAAAAAAGAATCAAAATGCAAGAGCAAAGTCAAAACATCCTTTGTGTGCTTTCACTGGGTTCCCTAAGGGAATGCTGCTTTGTAGAAATATACTTTAATCTCTTGTACATTCACATTGGCCTATTTGCAGGGTCTAGAGCAGATAATACAGGAGAATGAGGTTTTTCTCCCAGTTGCATAGCTACATTGTCCCTGTTTAGCCCTCAAGTCTCCTCTCAGAGAATGGTAGGAAAAGCAGGACATAAGTCTCACAAATGCAGTTGGTGATATATAATTTTAAGTATCCTATCATTTTCTACTTATGTCATATTCACTATGATCTTGGTAATTGGGAGGGTATTCACTCCAAATCTGTGTGCTTTGCTATTTGTCCCCCACCTCTAGAATTCATTAGAGTTTCAGCAATAATTAATGACCCATTAACATGTTAAGTACCACTCATCATTATGTATTAATCCAGCATTAAAAATAATGGGCTTGTCCTGGGAGAAGTGGCAGCACTGTTCCTGCTGGAAAGCAGTCAGTCACTTGGCTCTAGGGAGCAGAGGCTGAGAGTGCTCTTCCTCCCCAGTCATATTGTTGTCATTCTTGCAAAGCAGCCACAGTCTAGTTTTGGGAACTGCAGCTGGGAAATTACGGCAGCCCTGTTTGCATTCAACTTGGCCTACACTCCAGAAAGACACAGTGAATTTAGGGAAGAGTCTAAATTTTTTTTCAAATTATGAATTTTCACTATATTCTAAAATATGAGTTGCTCAAGTAGGAGAAGCGGGCCATCCTTCAAAACCAAGCTCCTACTCTAAATTCCCTATGAGGGCAGCCATGTAGGTATGCCTTGGCATCAACCTTGCAGGAAAAGAACTACTAACATGGTGAATTCCACTTCCTGGACAAGTATCATGAGCCCAGGTTCTCACATCAATCTACATAAGCAATTGCTTTCTAAGAAAATCACTCCAGACTGGGGACACTCTAATTCTGCTTCCCAAACCTTGTCTGTGTGTTTTGAACACAGTTTCAACCACTGATGTTGGGGTTTCTTTCCTAGTGGTCCAGTTAAGATGTCACAGGATCTCATCCATTACCTAAACCCCTGACTTCCCTTCTGCCACGCAGACAAAGCATCAGGGGACCCCTCCCTGCAATAGGACTTTATTTTTCTAGCCTGATTGGTATTTAGCAAATCCTTACTTAGTCACTTAACTGCTTACATCACATCTGCCTTGACGGTGAGGCAGGATATTTTCCTGACCCTTTCACAGGCAGGAACTAGAGTGCATGGGCACTAGAACTAGCCAGCCACTTTGGTGCCAGCAGGGGCAGACTGTATTGGCTTGGTCCTGCTGCCTTCCACCCCTTGTGGGAGGGGGAGTACAGGTGAGCAGGTGCAGGAGCCAGGGTGAGCGCTTTTGGGCACCGGCAGGAGCAAAACTTTGTGCAACCCCACGGCAACATCTAAGGGGTGACTGCAACCCTGAAGCCCCAGTAGGGGGGTTACAGTGCCCTTTTAGCTTTGCCATCCATGGACAGCATAAGTGTTAACAGCTCAATGGAAGGTCAGTGTGACAGCCTTTTGCACCCCAACTCATGGCACCCGAGTTCTTGTCTGGCATTCAGGAAGAATGAGGTCACATGAACAACTTGAAGATGGTAAATGCAGGGGATTTTATTGCCAATGAAAGTGGCTCTCGGTGGGAAGGGGAGCTAGAAAGCAGATGGGGCAGGAAGGTGATCTTCCTCTGGAGTCCAGCCATGCCTGGCCAGACTCCACTCCGAAGATAAGCTGTCAAGCTGTCCTTCTGAAGCCAAGCCACTTCTCTCCCACGTTTGACCGTAGTCTCTGATATCCAGCTGCTTCTCCTCTCTGCCAGCTGAGTTCTGGGGTTTTTATAGGCACAGGATAGGGGGTGAGGTGGGCCATGGGTGGTTTTGGAAAAGGCAACATTGGAACGGGAAATCAGGGATGTATGTTCTCACTTTGGGCTGCAGTATTAGGCTTTTTGGCTTCAGGGTGGAGCCCTCGCTGGGGACCCACCCTTTTCTGCCCAGAATTTCACTGCCTCCTGTCCCTATCAATGGGACCGTCCCCAGTGACCACAAAGGCTCTTGCAGTTCTATTTTGCATCCTTAATTCCTTAAGGTCTCATTGACCATGTTTTGGCATTTCCCCAGCACCCACAGGTACAGAGAGAAAAGAGATGAGGGATAGAATTGTTACTGGGGGGTCCTTGCTACCAGAGCTCCCAACATGGTGGCAGGCCACTTCCAAGATGGTGGCAAGCCTCGCGTTCTCTGACCTGGGGTTCTTGGCCTCTCGGATTCCAAGGAATGGAACCTTGGGCCATGCAGTGAGTGTTATAGCTCTATTAGAAGCCATGGGTCATGGAAGAGAATTGTGGAACCCAGTGACTAGTGTTCAGCTCGATTAGGATGAACCCAGGCACTTAGCCATGCAGGAACAATGCAAGCCTCTTGCCTGATCGGGAGCAGCAATGGGTGCCTCACTGGATCAGGAGCACAGCAGACACCCTGCCTGATCTGGAGGCATGGAAGTCAGCGGCAGGTCTGCCACTGCGGCAAACAGCAGTGGTGGACGGTGAGCGAAAGCTCAGCTCGAGCCATAGCAAACACGGACCAGAAGAGTGCAGTTGCAAGATTTAATATAGTGAAATAGAGTGAAAACAGAGCTTCCATACAAAGGGAGGGGACTCAAAGAGGGTAGCCATTGCTGGCTCGAATGCATGGGTTTATATCCCGATCCTTGTTCTCCCTGCTGTGCTCTCAGGCAATGGATGATTGTCTATTTCTTTACCTTCTGTTTTTGCCTAATTAGCATTTTAGTGAGCTCTCCTTACCATCTGATTGGTTGGATGTGAGCTAAGTTGCAAGCCCCGTGTTTAAAGGTGGAAGTGGTCACCTTCCCAGCTAGGCTTAGGGATTCTTAGTTGGCCTAGGAAATCCAGCTAGTCCTGTCTCTCAGAATTGCCCTTCTCAACTACAGCCACAGGGCTCAACACCTCCTCTCCCTTGGATCAGGAGCATGTATAAAGACATCCACACATAAGAACAAATCTCTGATTCTCTGACCCAAAATAAGGAAATAAGATTACCTAGAAAGAAACTTGACCTGCAGTTAAAAAAAAAACAAAAACAAAAACAACAGGTACTCGAGGCTCTGAAGTCTGCCCTGGCATTTGGCTCTGCCACTGGCAGGCAAAGTATTTACACCACTAAGCCCCAGCTTCCTCTTTTGGAAGAATGAGGATGGTGATAGTTCTTATCTCATAAGGGGTACTGGGAGAAGTACAAGAAATAATGCATGTAAAACAGCACCAAACCTAATGAACACAATTGTTATTACCCAAGAATGTTGTCATTAATTCTAATTAGGTTTTCCCATATTGGTTGCCATTTTTCTGCACAATTTATTGTCTCATCCATACTGGTGGGCAAGGGTTCAAGTGCACCCCAAACAAGTGTGAATATTTCCCAAGCAAGATGGGGAAGGAATTCATTGTCATCATCCTAACAAATAGGTTCATTGCCCAATGCACACAGCCAGTCAATATGCCCAGACACTGGGTTGCAGCAGAGAAAGAGGTAGGGTCACCAAATGAGATGGGAAGGAACCCCAAATCCATTTTCCTGAGGAGTTTAGGGTAAGAGTTTTTAAAGGTTTTGAAGTGGGCCAAGGTGTGGAGATCCTTGATTGGTTGATGAGTGCAGGGTGAAGTCCTGGGGCAGGGCGAGATGAAGAAGCTGTATTCTCACTCTGATCCACTGTTCTGAAAAGCATATTAAGTGATCTTTATGTCAGAGATCCTGTCTATGGGAACAATGCAGATGCAAATTAATTCTTAAGCAGCCTTAGGACCCTAATGCCAGAAATCCTGTCTATAGGAACAACGGGGATGTAAGTGGTCAGAATCCAGTGCTGCACGGCTTTCAGCAACAAGGAAGTGGGCAGAAGTGCACGCTGAGTAATGCTTCATTACAATGATATTTCTGTCCAGAACCCGGCATACAATTTGTCAACACTATGGGGACAGTTGCAGTAACGGAGTTGAGATTACGCCCTCCAACCCTGTAGCTCATACTTCACATTGGAATTCTCCTCAAAGTGCAGAGGTGTGCATTTTGTGGGGATATGAGGGAAAAGCTATCTCTTGGGTAAAGAGGGGAGGCCCGCTGGGGGTCGGCAATAGGATGAGGTAGCACAGCAGCCTTGCTCCCCACCACCCCAGTAGTCAGAAAAAGCCCAGCCTGAAGAAAAGTCTCAGAGTCCGCTGAGACAATGGAGGGGACTCAGCAGGTGACAAAGCCCCACCCTGCCCAGCAGCAGCCACAGAGTGCTGTCCCCAGCAAGGGAGGGAGGGCGCTGAGGCTCAGGGGACCCAGTGGGACGAGGGATGCAGCCTTCCCATCTCCACCATGCCCCCCATTTCATGGACTTTGGGACCCTCTCAAGGTCCATATGGCCCAGTGGCCAGCAAGGCTGTTTTCAGAATGCAGACCCAGTACAGATGCGTCACCAGGAGCCTGTGCCCTGGCCTGTCTTGACTAGCGACCCCCTTAGTCCTGTCAGCCCTGAGAGACTCCAAGGCAAGCCTCTGGGGGCTGAATCTAACAAATCAACCATCTCCCCAGGACTCTATCATGAGGCTGCACATTGGGTTCCCCTCCAACAGAACATTTTTCCCCAGAAATCACAGGATTAGGCCTCCTAACCTTCTCTCCCTAAACTGCCATGTCCAGGTGTTACTTGTAAGCTGACCATCAACTGAACCATAGTCATGAGAAAATGTGGATTTATATGTAGATTTGCTTGCAAGAGAAGTTGGGGGACCCCGACCAGGGACCAACAGTTTTGTTCCTGTGCTTCTGCCTGACCTGTGTCCTTGTCCAGTGCCTTGGCTCTCCTTCGTGTCTGCTGCAATCTCACTTAGGCAAAACTGTGGCTCTTTTACGCGGCCCCATTTGGTCTCTGGATGAACTGGGATACGATACTTTCATAGTCACATCCATTAGCAGGGACGGCTGCCTCAGTGACAGGTGTGGGTTGGGGGAAAAGCACACACTTGAGTGGCAGAGCCGGCTACTGCTCCTCCCAGGCACTTGCTCCCTCTTTCCTTCCCTGTCCTCTGCTCTGGAACTTCATAATCCTGAGCCACAATTGTGCACATCAGAGGAGAGATACAGGAACTAACAAAAAAGTGGCCCAGCAGTTTTGTTCCAGAGAATTGAGTTTAGAGCACAACGCCTCACCTGGGCTACCACAGTGCCCTAGAAAGCTGTAGATGGATACAGGATGTGATGGTGAGTTTCATGCATCAGCTTGGCTAGGCTATAGGACCCGGTTATTTAATAAACACTAATGTGGACGTTGCTGTGGAGGTATTTGTGGTGTGGGTCACATGTACAATAAGCTGATTTTCAAGAGATTGCCCCTGATCATGTGGATGGGCCTCATTCCGTTGATCCCCCTAAGAGCAAAAACTGAGGTGTCCCACAGAAGAAATTCTGCCTCAAGACTGCAGCCTCAACTTCTGACTTCAGAGCTGCTACCCCGCTGCTTTGAGGCCGGAGGCCCTGCTGGGCCCAGCCTCCTGTGGCTGAGTGTCATCTATTGTCTCACGCTCAGAAGGACCCCAGCCCCATCCAGAAACCAAACACACCCTGTGGTCAGTCTCAACTCAACCTGCCAACCACCTAGCTGTGATTCTGTCCTTCTCACTATGCTTATTACAAACAGGTGGACCAGGCTATAACTGGGCAAGATCTGCTGATGGCTTACTGCTGACTGAATCAGGCAGGGGTGCCTGCTCTTAAAGGTGTTTCTTTTTAGTGAGATCATGGCCTTGGGTGTGAGGCGAAGGAATAACTAGGGGCTAGGGAGCAGCAGATCCAGGTGTGAGGCCCAGCCCTTATGTTTATTGCCTCTGTCTTCTCACCTGTAAAATGGGTTCACAACAATAAGATTACTCACAGTGTTGCTTTGAGGCTCAAAGAAGGAAAGGTGTGTGAAGCATGTTGAGAACTATGAAGAAAAATACCAAGGTTAATAATTAATTAAAGCATTTTTACCACTTTCCATCGAACTATTGAGAACAACAAAAAACTTTTCCAAACTGTGGCTAAAAGCAAGAGGTCGGTCTCTCCTCTAACGTTTCTTCTTTGATTCCCAGGCTTTTGCATTTAGCCCAAAATAGGCTCCTTGGTGCCCTGCGTTTTAAGTAGGAAGTGACCAAGTCACTGACTTCCCGGAATCTGTCTCTGCCAACACAGGCCATAGAGTCCTTAACAACCCGCCTGTGAACAGTTATTTATAGTGTTCACCTCAGGCGGACACCACTTTTAGGGCAGCAGGGAAATGAGAACATCCGCTAAGGGCGGTTTAGATCGATCTGTTTTGCCCAGCTCTGCTCAGCTGGGAGAAGTCTGCTGTCTGCTCCACAGCCCCTCCACTTCAGAGCAGGTAGTCGTGGCTTGCACTGTGGGCTGTTCCCCCAGCCTCTACACAGCTAGAAGACAACCTCTTCCTGTTCACAGAGCTCTAGAGGGGGACAAGGGAGTGTCAGCCTAGCATCTGTGGAAAAAGAGTTCAGGGAGGCTGCAGTGAGCCATGGGAAAACCTAGGTCTCTTCCCTGCTAGTGTGTGACTTCCAAGACCTCTGGCTTCCCCTCCTAAGTGACGGTGGCATGCTCTGCCTGCGTGTGTCATAGAGATCCTAAAACCTCCCGTGAACAAAGACTGGTACACAGGCGGGTAACAGTGTTGCTATTATTCTTTCTTCAGTAATATGACCCAACACAAGCAAAGAAAGAGACAGGCAGGCTGGCTTCACGGCTAGAGTTGCTGAAGATGACCACCGCAGGAGGGAAAGGAATCACGTTCATGGTTACTTGTCATCAGTGCAGAGTTCCCTCCCAGTGTGTTAGGACAAAAGGGAAGAACCTCTGCAGTTGAGAAGCAAGGCACAGATAAGAATCTTTGGATTTCTTCGGTTAGGTACTAAATGCCTGGAGTGCGGCTTTTTCTGCCAGCAGCTGCGTCCAGTCATTTGTGGTGTTGAGGCCAGGGTAGCGGCCCTGTCCTGGGAGTCGGCCTCAGTCTTTGGCTTTGGCTGTAAGGCACACTGAGAGAAACTAGGCTGCAGGCCGCTCTTCTCTGCCTTAAACCCCTCTGGGTGGGGCAGCTCTCTCGAGAGCAGTCATTACTGCAGCTGTGTGAGCTGCAGGGTGGCTGAGCAGAGGAAAGGGAGGCACGATTGCTCACCCCTTGGGAGGCGGCACAGGTCACAAGAGAGCTTTGGAGTTGTACAAATCTGGGTTCCAATCCTGGATCTCCCTTCTTAGACATTCAGACCACCTCTCTAACCCTCGGTTTCCTCTTCTGTGTAGTGGTGATAATCCTACAGGCCTCAAGATTTTGGGGACACCAAACGAGAGCACAGAAAACCAGTGCAGGGGGGAGGGTGCTGGTGCAGGGTAGTTGGTGAGTGAGCATGACCCTCAGCACCCCTGACTCCACCGTTCACACCTGAGAACGTAGGGCCGGAGATGACTTTGCCAAGACTGAGCACCAAGCAAGAAGCACGGCTGCGGGAAACGCGGCATGCTCAGGCATCCACAGTCTTTAAGCTAAATGACATCTTACTGAGCGCTCCCTTCCACAAGACTCCGTGTTGGGAACTGTGCATGCGAGGGATCTAGGTTGCCTGGGGGAGGTGCTCTCCCCTCACCTTCTTCAGAAAACAACTTCCAGGTTTAGTGTTTAGAGTAATTTTTTTTAAATGTACAAAAAGTGCTTTGGTGTCCAAAAAAATGTGTTGAATTTGAAAAGATTCAGATGGCATCCATAATCTTCATCCCCGCCCTTCCAGCCCCGGGCTTGGTACCTCTGCAGGGCATGCCCAGGGTGGTTGGGGACTGGCACAGGTCTGTGGCCCTGGGGGTTGGGGACCCCTGCAGTAGGGTCCTGAGACTTTGTGAGTCGCTGGGCTGCCTGCAGGGCCAAGGGGCATAAGCAAATCTCCATCCTGGCATTGGTGCAGGTGAAAAGGAGGTGTAAGTCCCTGCTGCAAATGGAGAGGACACAGATATGACACAAATGGAGAGAGACAGTGAAAATCACCGAGAGACCAGGCTCTGCCCGGGCTGGCCATCTACCAGCCACCCAGCCATGGGATGCTGGACAGTCCTCAGGCTTCTCGGGGCCTCTGTTTCCTCACCCAGGAAATGAGCTCAGGCCAGAGGGACAGTTTTCAGGGTTTTCAATTTTTTTTTTTAAAGCAGCAGAAACTTTTCTTTAAAATAAACCATGAGCAGAGCCCCAGTACATTAAAAAAAAAAAAAAAGTAGAATCTGCCTGGTGGAGTGGAAGTGGGGACCCAGAGGCCTTGTGTGCCTTGACCCGAGGATGTGTTGTTGGGGCCGCACTTTCAGAGGGGCACCCAGCACCCTATATTGGGCCCACAGGTCTACATCTGTTCCCATGTCCCAATTTAGCTGTAAGTCCTTGCAGGCAGGGGCTGTCCTAGAGCACTTGGGGTGGCCAGAGCCCAGCCCAGCACCCTGCTCACACGCTCTGGTGACATGTCATTAGTAGAGGCAACTTGCGCAGGTCTGCAGCAACCTCCATTCTTGCCTCCTCAGAAGAAAAAATTCGACTGAGGGGCATAAGGCAGAAGAAAAGACCAAGGCAAGTTTTAGAACAGAAGTGAAAGGAAGTAAAGTACACTTGGAAGACAGCCAAGCAGGCAACTTGTGAGGTCGAGTGCAGGGTTTGACCTTTGATTTGGGGTTTATATGTTGGCACGCTTCCAGGGTCTTGCATTACTTCTCCTCTGATTCTTCCCTTGGGGTGGGCTGTTCGGGTGGGCTGTTCCCATGCGCAGTAACGGTGCTTGAGAGCGGGGCATGCACAGTGTGTTTACTGGAGTTGTACACATGCTCACTTGAGGCGTTCTTCCCTTACCAATCTGGCATTCCTAGAGGAAGGTCATATGCCAGCTAAACGCCTCCATTTTGCCTCTTAGTGCGCATGCTTGAGCCCACTCACCCAATCCCCTGCAACCTTATCGGGAAGCAGCTGATCACCAGCTTCAGGTGTTTTCTGTTTATTGGGAGACTGCCTTTCCCTGGTGCTGGCTGTGCCCAATTATTATTTTAGAGAGACAGTTAACAACAACCTGATCATCACCTGATGGTTGTCTGACATTCCTGGTGTGTGTGTTGGGAGAGCCCCTCCTGCCCTGCTCATGCCTGGCTAGCTACCTCCCTCATCAGTACTGCAGTGGGAAGAGGCAGCCGGTAAGTCGATGAGAAGTGCCTCCTCTGCAGCAGGGCTTTCAGTCTTGTACACTTCACGGGGTGGCCGGTTTTCTATTTTTCCAAAGACTGGTATTAAAATAGACAATTGTCCCTACTGCAGTCACCTGCAGTTATTCAAATAAAGGGCATTTTGGCAATAGTAAAATGGCTTGGCCCTTGGGGACCACTACTCTAGAGCCACTTCCGGTCATTTGCTTGACCTTGTCATCTGCCTGTCTTTGCAAGTGAGTTCGCTTTAGGCTGACCTTTGGTCCATGGTGGTCCAGGTCTGCCTCCTCACAGCCCTCAGGCGTGGCTGGCTGTGACTCATCTGAGCCTGGAGTGTTGTCCTCTTGGTGGGCACTGATCACTGTGACATCTCTGCCTTTGGTCCAAAGTCCTGTCTGTACTTTAATAGAATATGACTACTGAATCTTGACCTTTGGCAAGAGAGGCCTGGGGTGATTTAAAGTAAACAAAACAGCCCTTACCACCAGAACCTGCCCAGGGAGGCAGGGACAGAAGTAAAGCAGTGTTCTGTCCTCAAGCTGGTGGCGACACAGAAAGAAAGCCAGAAAAAGCAGCCCCACAGTGTGTTAACTGAGTCCTCACAAAGTGCTGCAGGAACCCATTGGTGGAAAGAGTTCCTTGACTAGCGTTGAGGGAGAGGATGTGCTTGTGAGGGGACCAGGGAAGGCTGCTTGTAGGAAAAACAATGTGATGGTCCTTTCATTTATTAACTTATTTATTGATTTATTTTGTAATTACAACTTTACTTTAGATTCGGGGGGGGGGTGGTGCATGTGTAGGCTTGTTTACATGGTGGGCATATTGCATGATGCTGAGGTTTGGGATACGAATGATCCTGTCAGCCAGGTAGTGAAAACAGTACCCAGTAGTTTGTTCAACCCTTCTCTCCTCCCTCCCTTTCTGCCCCCTCTAGTAGTCCCTAGTGTCTATTCCCATCTTTATATCCATGAGTACGCAATGTTTAGTTCCCACTTGTGAGAATGGCGGTATTTGATTTTCTGTTCCTACGTTAATTCGCGTAGGATAATGGCCTGCAGCTGCATCCATGTTGCTGCAAAGGACATGATTTCATTATTTTTATGGTTGCAATGGTTCTTAAAGGCTGAGGAGTCTGCCAGGCTAAGTGGAGGGGACACCCAGCAGAGGAGGAAGAGCAAGTAGTGGCATGAAAGACTGTCAATGTCAGTAACTTTGGGAGAATGTGTCTATATCATTTTTTCAACTAGACCATTTTCTTTAAAGTGTGGTGAAGGCGCCACTCATAAATATCCTGTCTGCAGAGCCCTTAGACCTAACTGTTATATGTACATGCCAATTTGCTGCCAGAAACTAGTTTTGGTGGCCTGCACTTTGCAAATGACAGGCCCGTCACTGCAATGTGGCAATGGAGGTTTCAGGTGGAACCAGGACACTTGGAGCTATTTTGACAGAAGCCTTTTCTCCCACAGGAGGCCCACCTTGGCAGTAGTCCTGAAGGTAAAAAGAACTCTGGATTAAGGTGTCTGTATGATTTTCTGTAGACAATCAGGGTCTTGGGCTGCTTGTGGGAAGTTTCCTGGAATGGCACAATCAATTCCAGGGCTCCACCTGAAGCTTCAAGCCCACTTTCCAGGATATGTAGCCCTTCTGCACATAAAGCACCCTGCCAGGCATTGCAGGGCGTCTGGGGAGAAAAGGTCCTTGAAGAAGACTCCAACCCCATTCTCCAGTAGGCTGGGATTCAGGAAGGGCTGGAAGACAGGAGTGAAAGTAAGCATTCCATGCAAGAGGTCCAGAGTCCAGTGAAGACTCAACGGCACTTCCAGTTTGTAAACGTGGAAAGAAAAGGGAAGGCAGGGTGAGCTCTGGGTGTTGAAAGAGATTGGAGTGGGCCACAGGGAGAAAGGGGGTGGAGAGGAGTGCTCCAGGTGGAGTGAGGGAATGGTGGGAGTGAAAGTTCATAAACAAGGATAGAGGGAGAGCTTTTCAACCTCCTGGAATTGCCAAGTATCTTTCTCCTAAGGGCTAGGAACTCCCTGGCAGCCTGACTTCTTTAGGAGATCCCTCCACTGAATTCTCCACGCACCTTCAAAATCAGTCCAGTCTGAGGTTTAAATGGTAAATCATGTGATTGAATCAGCAGCAACAGACTGGCCAGGAACACCTTTGGAATATGCAGTAGAGACTGCCCTGCATGACCTGGGGTCTCTGGGGCAGATGGTTCAGCCCAACAGCATTCAATGTTGCACCCTGGCTCTTGAATAAGCACTGAGTTGATGGTGGTGATTCTGAAGGGCTGTTATGGATTGAACTGTGTCTGCCCAAAAGCTGTTCTAACCCCAAGCACCTGTAGATATGACCTTCTTTAGGAATAGGGTCTTTGCAGATGATCAAGTTAAGATTAGGTCATTAGGGTAGACCCTAATCCAGTATGACTGGTGTTCTTATGTAACAGGGAAATTTGGAAGCCAACCTGTACAGAGGGAAGGCTTGTGAAGACATGGGGCAAATGCCATCTATAAGCCAAGGAGTGAATGCCTGAGGCTACTAGAAGCCAGGAGAATGGCCTAGAACAGATTCTCATTCACGGTCCTCAGAAGACACCAACCCTGCCAAGACTTTGACCTTGAACTTCCAGCCTCCAGAGCTCTGAGACCATACATTTCTGTTTAAGCCACTCTGTTTGGGGTACATTGTTAGTAGCAGCCTTGGGAAACAAATACAGGGGTGTATTAGTTTATTATAAAAAAATCTTCAGGTTGATGATAAGTATAATTATGAAGGCTCAGCACTAGATGCTGTGGTTGATTCTTGAGATAACCACCAAGATCCCCCACATCTCCCACTATCAATTTGTGTTAGTTCTGTTCTATATGGGACAGTGGAATGAGTAATTGGCATCTCATACTTGGCACTTTTGGCCAAGCATAATCTGATAAATCCCTCCCCAGAAAAATGCCCACACATACACTCGAAAAAGGCACAGACTTCTGCACTAAATTTCTAGTGTCTCATGTGCTGGCACACTAGTGTAATAAGTTGAGAAAACAAATAGTAGTGATGGCTCACTGTGATGTACCAGCAAAATCTCAGAAGGGAAAGCCAACAGCAGTTCACTGGGGTCTCGAAGGGCTTTGGCAGCAGGCCTTTGTGATAAATGATTCAGGGTTATTGCTGGTGATTAGGGATGTACCCAGAGGAAGTTGGTGTCCATTCCGACATACGCAATACAGGTATCTGATGTGCACCTGGCCCCTGCCAGGAAAGCAGGGGGCTGTGTCTGAACTGATCCACAGATGCCCGCTGACTTTGTTGTCACCCTTCCCATCAGAAGGGGTGAGCACCAGCACGGTATGAGCAGAGCAGAGGTGAAGCTGCCTCGTTTGCTCTGTGGCATGTGGAGCTGCCCTCCCATGGCTCAGGATCTTCCTCCAGGACTTCAATTTAGTTTGCTACAAGAGAAAATGAAAAGCTCTTAGTAGACAAGTCCAGGAAAGAGCTCACTGGTTTTCAACTCTCCAATACACCCCAAACATTATTTTGCACATGTGATCAGGAGCACTTACCCAAGAGGGTCACTAGGCTGGCCCTTGTCCGGCTTTTCTCTGCCTATCTCATCTGGAGATGCCATGCTAAGTTGTAGCAAATGCCAGTGGACAAACAGATATTCCACAGCATTCTTTCCATGGGCAACGACCACATGGGAATAGCCCCATTCTAAATCACTCATTGTCCCTTGAAGCTAAAAACAGTCCAACAAATAAAGTCACTTTTTGGTTTGCATAACACTAATTTTCTCCAAGATAATGTTAACAGCTCTGCACCTGCATCTCACCCCAACTTTTGCCCACAGCAGCCCCTGGATCTCACCTCAACTTCTGCCCACAGCAGCCACAGCATCACTACCTGATCCTCTTCAGGAGGAGTGGTCTGTGTGAAGAGGAGAGTGACAGGAAAGGGGGACAAGTCTCCAGGGACTCAGGGACTACTTAGTAGAAAGTGTCCTTATAGGTGGTTTCCTAGACTTACATCTGACCTCCACCATTGATTTGGTCGCCATCCACAGAAAAGGGCAAAGGGACAAAATAGAAATCGAAATCCAGCGAGCGAAATGTGATGATGAGGGCCTCATCACCTTTGGCACACCGTACTGGCTCTGCTATACTTGATACTGTCCATTTTCCAATATAATTGGGGAAAAAATATGGTGATCAGATGCCCGTCACCCACACCAATCTCCCTGCTGTGGGCTGAGTTGTGTCTCCCCAACATTCACACATTGATCTAACCCCTGGGACCTCAGAATGTGAATGTATTTGGAGATAGAGTTCAGTCACCTTTATAGAGGTGATTGAGCTAAAATGAAGTCATTTGGGTGACCCCTAATCCCATATGACTGGTTCCCTTAAAAGAAAAGGAGATGAGGACACAGACACACACAGAGGGAAGACCACGTGAGGACACAGGGAGATGACGGCTGTCTGCAAGACATCGATTTCCAGCCTCCAGCACTGTGAGAAAATAGATTTCTGTTGTTCACACCACTCAGTCTGTGGCACTTTGTTAGGGCAGTCCTGGCAAACTAATACACTCCCCTTAAGTCAAACTTGGATATACCTAACATTTGTAAAGAACGGTTACTTCAAAAAAAAAAAAAGCTTTTGTAACCATTTTCTTTTGGATCCTTCCAACAACTCTGCAAGATATCACAATGGTTATTTTGCAAATGGAGGAACTGAGGCTTAAGAAAGTAAAGGAATTTACTTCTTGTGCAGCAATAATGGGCAGAGCTGCGGGACTGGAGCTGCCCTTGCCCTCTGCTCTCCTAGCAATTTTCTTTTATGAGCAAACCTACACGGTGTAAACCTCCTGGGCAACTGTTCTTTTCTGCACACTTCACTATATGAACGTGGAACATTTATAGAGATAGCCTGTAAGAGCTGAATTCCTGCTGCCTCTAACTCCAGACACTTTCGCCTGAATGTGTACTTCTCACTACTGATAAACCCGTGACTCAGCTGGAAATCCTCGTGGTGAAGGAACTGAACACAGAAAACACACATTCGTAAAGACCAGGTGTGGAAGTCTCCAGCCCTGTTTGCACCGCAGCAGACAGGGACACCACAGCCACACGGTACTTGGAAACCCGAGCTTGAGATGATTGATGGAAGTGTTAAAATGCCAGAGCATTTGGGGAATGTGGTATGGGCAGTCCCAGAAGAAATGGCCCTGCTCAGATGCCATCCTGTGGGGTGCGGCTTAATGGGGCCACTCACTCATCTGGGATGTGAAACTTTGAAGACAAATACCTGTTTACTTCATTCGCCCCAGATTTTATACATGCTTTTTAAAAAACAACTTTATTCATGTATAGCTAGGATAAAATGAACAGCACATATTTAAAGTGCCCAATTTGATGAATTTTGATATTGGTGTACATGTGTGAAACTGTCATCACAATCAAAATAACAAACGCCTCCATCATTTCCAAGTTTCCCCATGTCCTTTGTAAGCCCACCTTGCTCCCCCTTCCCCCACACAAGCCCAACCTCCCATCCCTTCCCAGCAATCATTGATACGTTTTCTGTCTCTATGGCTTAGTTTGCATTTTCTAGAATTTTATATAAATGAAATCATACAGTATGTGTTATTTTTGTCTGGCTTTTTTTTCCATTTAGCATAATTACTTTGAAATCTGCCCATACTGTTGTCTGTATCAATAGTGTATTCCTTTCATCTCTGAGTGTCATTCCATTTTGTGGAAATGCCATAATTTGCTTATTCATTTGCCTGTTGAGGGACATTTGGATTGTTTTCCATTTTGGGCCATTACCATAAAGCTGCTATGAACATTTGTATACGTGTGGACAGATGCTTTTATTTCTCTTGAGTAAATACCTAGAAGTGGAATGGCTGTATATTTAGCTTTGCAGAAACTGTCAGACTATTTTCCAAAGTAGTTGTACTATTTTACATTGTTAGCAGCAGCGTAGAAGAGTTCCAGTTCCTCCACCCACTTGTCAACACATGGTATCGTCCATTTCTAAAGTGTTACCACTACTAGGTGTGTGGTGGTATCTCAATGTGATTTTCGTTTGCATTTCTCTAATGACTAATGATGTTGAGCATCTTTTAATGTGTTTATTTTGCCTTTCATTTATCTTCTTTGGTGAGGAGAGTGTGTTCAAACCTTTGGCCCATTTTTTTAAAGTTGGTTTATTTGTCTTCTTGTAATTGAGTCTTAAGAATTCTTCACATATCCTAGATCCAAGTTCTTTGTGAGATAGATGTTTTGCATTTAATTCAGTAAGATATATAAACAAGAAAGGCTTATTGTGAGTCCCTGAACCATGCTAAGAGATGAAATAGGTACCATTTGTTCAACATTAAGTATAAATTATACATACAAAAGCTACATATATCCCACAGATGAATTACTTTTCATCTCTCCTTAATGGCACTAGTGGCTCTTAGCCAGATGGGCTGAAAGAAAGCTCCCTGTCCCTACCTTTCCAAGTATTCTTTATTTCTGGCCTCTTGTCCCTGGGGTCCTTTCCTAATTCCACACCCCACTCTGATCCACACCGGCAGATGGACAACTTTGGAGGCAGTAATTACCAACGTCTTTCAGGTGGAGTCTTCATCAGCCACCCATCCTGCACTGACTCATGTCAAGGAGGGGCAGCTGCCTGGAACCCTGTTTTCTCCCCACTGCTAGAGGCTGGGGCTCTTTCTAGATTCTCCTGACTTCATGCAGAAAATTACCAATGTTTTGGTTGTGTTACCTCAGTGATTTTTTTCCGCTGATTAAAAATTAACTCCCTCATTGCTACCAAACCTCCCTTCCTCAGGGCACCAGCTGGGTGGTTGCTGCTTAAGGATGAGCAGCGACTTCTGAGCAGCGCAGAATCACCCCCTAGCTTACTTCTGTCCTGGAGACCCTCAGCTGGGAGCCCACAACGCTAGTCTGTGCTCAGGCTCCAGAGCTTTCCTCAGAATTGATTCTAGAACCCCAGAGGCAGGCCTGAGGGAGACGAGGAGGGAGAGTCCCTGGGCAACGTGCTTCCTGAAAGCACATGTCAGAGTGAAAGCGTGTCCTTATAAGTGGGATTCTCACAGCAGTGGAGTGACTTTGCACAAGACACTTTACCTCTCTCAGCCTCCCTTTCTTCATGATAATGATAATAATCCTCACTACAAATCTGTATTTCATCACAGGACAATAGGAGAAATCTGGCCATCTCATACACTAGGCCTCCCCAAGTCGCTGTCATCTCTTTGCTGGGTTGTTGCAATCACCTCCTCAAAGGCCCCACTCCCACATCTGCAGTCTCTCTTCATACTACAGCCAGGAGGCTCTTTAAAACCAGGATTTTGTCACCAACTTGTCAAAAACCCTCAAATGGTTTTCAGTCTGACTCAGAGTAAAAGCTAAGGTCGACACCATGAACTGCAAAGCCCCGCAGGATTAGATGCTTGCAGCCTCTTACCTCTTAAGCTTTCCACCTCTCTCCTTCCCTTGGCCATGGCCTCCCTCTGTGTGGTCTGGCCATTCTGCTTCATGAGGGCCCTTAGCACAGACTGCTCTCTCCACAGCGTCTCCCCTCACGTGTCCACCGGGCTCCCTCTCTTCCCCCAGCTTTCTGCTCAAGTGTGGCCTTCATAGGGCTGCCTTCTTATCCTCCCTTTCCCTACCTCTTTGCTTTATATTACTCATGGCACTTGCCACTGCATGATGTATTATATGTTTATAAATGTCCCTGGTGTCTGCCTCTCCCCAATAAAGCACAAACACTGTAGCAGCAGGCACATTGCCTATCTTGTGTACAGTTATGTTTTCGGCCTTTAGAATAGAGCCTGGCACACACTAGGAGCTCAATACATATTTGTTGAATGAATAAATAAATGTATCTAGTAGAGTGACCATATAAAATGTTTGCTTTCTTTCCATTTCTTCCTTCTCTTTGAAAGTGATTTCTGTAGAATGGAAGATAAAACAATGTGGGAAATTTCCGGGATAAAATGCAAAGAGTGTTCACAAGTGTTTTAAAATATCATTGGAAATTCACATGAATGTCTCTGGAAAACATAAGGGCTCTTTACATGTGCAAATGCACTCCACCAAACATGACAGAAGTTGGGAAGTACATTGTGAACAGCGTCTGGGAAGGAAGGGACAATAAGCGTGAGCAACTGGGCAGCCAGGAAAAGGAGTGGCTGAGAAAATGAGGGCTCCTAACCAAGACAAGGGCAAGGGGAAAAGATGGGAAAGAGGCAGGGGAGGGAGACACTGATCATCCCGGATGCTGAGAACATAAATTCCCAGCAGACCAGGAGGTGGGGTGGGGGTGGGGTGGGGAGTTTGTGGAGAGTCTTTTTGACTGTAAGCCAAATAGTCAGTGCTGGGGCCCAAACGGAAAGGATTTTACTTCTCTAGGACCACAGGAAAGGAGTCACTTAGCCTGAGTAGGTGGACACGGGACTGAGAACCAGAGGGTTATCACTAAGGCCATAATCAATATGGGCGAGAACCCAGGTATAGCTGCCAGAAGAGGGGATGGTACAATGGAGTGAGGCGGCTGCTCCCCTGGGGACACTGCCTCCATGCCTGGGCACCGAGGAAGGGACATCCACCATGTGCACAGGAGCCAGGGAGACGTCACCACTGGGGACACTGCCTCCATGCCTGGGCACCGATGAAGGGACATCTACCATGTCCACAGGGGTCAGGGAGATGTCACCGCTGGGGACACTGCCTCCATGCCTGGGCACCAAGGAAGGGATATCCACCATGTCCACAGGGGTCAGGGAGACGTCACAGAAAAGGGGATGCTTAGAGAAGGAGGAATTCACAGAGCACACCAAATGAGATGTAAGAAATGTCTACCCATTGGAAGAGCGCTGCTACTTCCTAGATCCAACTGATATCTTGCTGCACTGCCAGACAGCTTACCAAGTGGAATCACCATGGTTCTTTCTCTTGGCCATGTGTTTTCACTGGTGTCATGCAGAGGCTACCACCATTTGAGGAATATGAAGTGAAATTTTAAAGGAAAACCAAAGTAACAGGAAGGTTACCTTTAATGGTATTAGGAAAGATTCTACTCGTGAGAACATTGAACCTTAGAGTGACTTTTTAAATCCTGTATCTTCCATTTTGTTTTCTTTTGCATGCTTAAATTCCCATTTGTCTTGTGTCTGGGACATCTACCCTTGAATAACTCACTGTTGTCTTCAGTCAACACACATGAAACATGCCCCGTCTTCCTTCCCACTTGTCAAAACTACAACAGCTTCCCAACTGGCCTAAATCTCTATCATGTCAACACAGCTCACCTAAATAGTCTATTTTGTTCTTGGGTTTGTTTCTTTGTTTTTGAGATGGAGTCTCACTATGTTGCCCAGGCTAATCTTGAACACCTGAGTCCAAGCAATCCTCCTGCCTCAGCCTCTCAAATAGCTGGAACTACAAGTGCAGACGACTTCCCCGGCTCTAAATAGTGTTTTTATGGTGTCCTTTCACCATGCCTTTTCCCTCCTCACAAGCCTCAGGACTGCTCCCTTACCTACAGGGTAGGAAAACACCTACCTTCTCACTCACACACAGCTCCTTCTTAAAAACTATGCTTTCACTGTGAATATAGTGATGAACAATGAGCTATGGCTTTGGTCCTGTGACATAAAGTCTAGGGTGGTAGGGTGATATTGAGCAAATACTAAGTATTCCATAAAGAAATAATCACAAATTATGAAAACAAAATATTATGTTAGGAGAATCAGATTTTGATGGGGGGTTATGATTAGGGAAAACTTTTTTGAGGAAGTGACTTTTGGGCTGACACATGGAGGATGAGCAGAAGTTGGCCAGGGAAGGACTAACAGAAGGGATGTGCAGGGCACCACGGTGGGGAAGCCCTTGGCCTATGGGAGGAACTGATACAAACCCGAGGGGCTGGAGTGTCATCTATTAAGGAAAGAAGGACAAAAGGTGACACTGGAGAAAGAAGCAGGGTTGTGTTAGCAGCAGCGAATCCATACAAGCCTTCAGCAACTTAAATTCTTGCCTCCTCAGAAGAAAGAATTCAACTGAGGGACCTAAGGCAGAGGGAGCGTCTGAGGCAAGTTTTAGAGCAGGAGTGAAAGTTTATCAAAAAGTTTCAGAGCAGGAATGAAAGGAAGTAAAATACACTTGGAAGAGGGCTAAGTGGGTGACTTGAGAGATTCAAGTGCGCTGTTTGACCTTTGACTTGGAGTTTTATACATTGGCCTGCTTCTGGGGGATTGCTCCCTTCTCCTTGGATTCTTCCCTTGGGGTGGGCTATCCACAGGAGTGTGGCCTGCCAGCACTTGGGAGGGGCCCCGTGCACAGAGTGTTCACTGAAGCTGTGCACATGCTCCCTTGAGGCATTTTCCCCTTAGTAGTTGAGTGTTCCTAGAGGAAGGTCATAGACTAGTTAAACTCCACCATTTTGCCTCTTAGTGCATGTGCTTGAGTCTACTTGCCCAACTCCTGCAATCTTATCAGGAAGCTGCCAATCACCAGCTTCAGGTGTGTCTATTTTAGAGAGACAGCTTAACAACCGCCTGACCATCACCTGATGGCTGCCTGACATTCCTGTGGGGGGTCCTCTCCTGCTCTGCTCATATCTGACTAACCATCTGCTGTAACCACACAGGGCCTTCCAGACTGGATAGGGGTTATAGATCTGCTTGCTGCTGAAGAGAGGATGACTTGGAAGCCAGGAGATTTTAGGAGGCTATTTCATAAGTGAAAGGAGAGCAGGTGGTGGGTCGGACCCAATGGAGAGCAGGAGATGGATGAAATGTCTTAAAGGTGGAATGAATGGGATAAATAGGACATGGTGGTGGATTGGATGTAGAGGGGATGGAAAACAATGTCAAGAAGGGCTCCCAAATTTCAGACTGCTGAATAGAGGTGTCATTTTCCAAGACACGGAAGACAAAAGAGGAGTATGTTTGTGGAGAACGACCCAGCTTAGTCTCACGCAGGTAAACCTTAGGGTACTGGGGGTTCCATCTTTCCTCCTGAGATTATTATACCCATGTTTACAGTTTCTGTCACTCAGATGGCAGTGAAATTGCTTCACTTTCCAGAATGTACATGTGTTTTCTTCCAAACAAGATAAAATGATTAAAGGAGCAGGGGCTTCATCTGCCAGCACACACACGTGAGTGTGCCTCACACTGTCCAGCAGCACCATGTAGCGTGCACCATTAAAGGACCTTGTAAGAATGGGTGAGTCATATTGGACTATAAATGTTTAGCCTTCAAAGCACTGTGAAGTGAGAGGTGATTATCATTATTTTTCAGGAGGAGAAATCTAACCTCGAAATCACTGCATTTTAAATTATGACTTTCTAACTCACCCCAGGCTTCGGTGATGTTTACATGAAGCAGCTGTTCTATGTAAAGATCCTTGTACTAACTACTGCCCTAGGCTGTGACAAAGGAAAAGTCACAGGCAATCTCTTTCTAACCCAGGTCTCACTCAAAATTCCCAAGTTATGTTTTTTGCAAATGGTTTGAGTTTGCCTCTATGATAAGAAAATTTCATTTGATTAAAATGAACCACAGGAAACAATAGGGCCTCTATGAAGTTAGGGAGGCTGGGTGTGATGACTCATGCCTGTAATCTCAACACTTTGGGAGGCCAAGGTGGGAGGATTGCTGGAGGCCAGGAGTTTGAGACAAGGCCTGGGCAATATAGCAAGACCCCATCTCACAGAACTAAATATATATATATATATATATTTAGCCAGTTGTGATGGTGTGAGCCTGTAGTCCCAGCCACTCAGGAAGCTAAACTGAGGGGATCACTTGACCCCAGGAGTTTGAGGAGCTATATTAGCACCACTGCACTCTAGTCTGGGTGACAGAGTAAGACTGTCTCAAAAAAAAAAAAAATAGAGAAATTATAGGACTATGGGACAGTGCTAAGCATAAGTTCATAGATTTTAACTCCTCACTCTAAAGAAGTTAGTCCCAGGGTGGAAGACATCATGCCTGGCCTCAGCCCAGCAGCCCCAGGCAAGGTCCAGTGCGGCCTGGGGTACTGTGGGGGCAGACCCACAAAAGGTGACATCTCCCCATGGCCCACAGCCGATGGACTTCCAGAAGGAGTGTATCGTCCAGCAATTTTGCGAGTCACCCTTATGCAGTTTTTCCCGAGCAGAGAACAGGGAATGGGGGATGCAGGTGGTAGAAAAAAAAATAACCAAAACCACTGTCACAGGTAAAGAAAGATTAAGGATGCCCGCATGTATTAATTTCCTACCACCATCCATTTACTTCACATATGTTGGCCTCTGTTTGCCTGTTTTCCTGTCTGCAAGATACAGATAATAATAGTATCCATGTAGTGGGTTTGTTGTTTGAGAATCAAATGAGCTACTACATGGAAAGCACTTAGAATCGCCACTGGCACATCAGAAGTGCTTGCAACATGTTAGCTTTTATTAAGAGGACTATCACCATCATCATCATCGCCACCATCTCCCACCACTGACAGATTCTTTTATATTCATTTTTTAGATAAGGAGACTGAGGTTAAGCGCACATCAGTCAGCATGGGTTCTGTTATGTTGCACTAACAAATAACCCCCAGCTTCAGGTTATGGACAGCCAGAGACACTTATTCTCACTCATGCTACATATTGGCTCCATGTCCTCTTCCACCCAGAACCCAGGGTGAAGGAGCAGCCCTTCTCTGCGATATCCTGCCTTTCTCACAGCAGATGATAGAGATGGAGGAACCAAGTTTCTACTCCAAAGGGACACATGTCACTTCCACTGTCATCTCTTTAGAAACACAGTCACCTGACAAGCCTCATGTCAACAGCACAAGGAGTATAATCTTTACCCAGGGATGACTCCATGGGAAAGGGCAGCAAATATTTTAACAATCACACAATCTACCACAAAGAGTTTCAATAGCTCACCCAGGGTCACACAGATTTTTAAAAGCCAGGATTCAAAGCCACTTCTGACTAATGCAAAAGTCTTTCTGGGGTCCTGCCTGGCTTTTCCTCCCTTCGTTTTAAGCACATTGTCTTTATGATTACAATCTTCTATCCTTACAATATTTAAAATATAGCAACAACAACAATAGCAAAACAGCAACAATAGCATTTTGAATTTTTTTTTTTTTTTTTTTTTTTGAGGTGGAGTCTCACTCTGTTGCCAGGCTGGAGAGCTGTGGCATGATCTCAGCTCACTGCAACCTCCGACTCCCTGGTTCAAGGAATTCTCCTGCCTCAGCCTCCTGAGTAGCTGGGATTACAGAGTTGGGATTACAGAGATGCACCCCAGCGCCCGGCTAATTTTTGTATTTTAGTAGAGATGGAGTTTCACTATGTTGGCCAGGATGGTCTCGATTTCCTGACCTCGTGATCCGCCTGCCTCGGCCTCCCAAAGTGCTGGGATTACAGGTGTGAGCCACTGCGCCCCGCGCATTTTGAATTTTTAAACTAGCTTTTTTGCAAAGAATCTCAAATTGCAGAGAATCTCAATCCTTACCCCGGGGTCAAAAGCTGGCCAGCCATGTTCGAGATTCCGGCCGGTTCTTTTTCAGCTGTAGTTTAGGATGCTGCTTCTTTGGTTTTCTGGCTTGTGAGATGGGGATAAGTCCATAGCTTCCATTTCAAGAATTTACTGAGCATTTACTATATTAAAAGCCTTATATTAGTTTACTTCTCAAGACTGTGTCAAAGAATAAAATCACAGAGATCATCACTGAAACCCTGCTCATTGGTAGCTGGGTTTATAGGTCCTTCAGTGAACCCACTTAATAAGTTGTGTAATCACACACACAAAAACCTAGTAATTTAAAAATATGGAAATGTACATTTAAGCTCTCTTTCAGTCTTAGATTCATGAAGCTTTCATATCTTCTACAGACTATTTTCACCGCTGAGTTGTCAGGGATGAAGCAGAGCTTATCAGTCTGAAGAGTCAGTGTTTGAACTAAATCTCTTCCAGACACTCCTGCTGAACCGGAAAGCCTACTTGAGGCCTTGGTCTTAGCCTCAACCTTGAGAACACTCAGGAAAAATTAAGTTCCTCTTACCCTCCTTGGACCTCAAATATTTGAGGATGTGGTCACATGGCACCTCCGTGGAAACATGGTCCACTTCCTTTCTCAGAAGGCCTAGTCCTGGGGTGCCTACTGCTCTGACAACACCCTGGGCGCTGGGCTGTTTGTCTCGCCATGGACCAGTCTTTGCTGCATGACTCCGGAGTTGCTCCTCCCCATCTCTCCAGTACTGAGTGCAGGTTTGCATCTAGCGGGCTCCCGAAGTATTCATGGTTACCCTGCATTTGGGGAAGGGGGCAATGGGGGCTGTCATTAGGCTATCTCTGTAACTGAGGCCAAGAGCTATGACTTTTTCACACTGGCTTCTCATGGTTCAACAGCATCCTCACCTAAAGGCAAAATATGATGGAGATGGAGGTGGGGGAGAGCAGGGAGGGGGCTCCTAAGGGGGAGGGGAACCCAGGACAGCAAGGATAGAGAGGGTCACAGCAAACATCACTTTTCATCTGTCCCTGGCTGCCTCTGCACTGAAAACTCCTTCCAGTCTCCCCAAGGGATAAGTATTGAGAAGTTTCCATCTCATTAACCACACAGTGGACCCAAAGGAAGGCCACGTCCACCTCCCAGGGCCAAACAATCCCACAGCATCAGGGGTCCCTCCGCCTCTCCCTGCTCCTGAAGCAAGTGCATGAGGCCGTTTAGCAAGGCATCCTCCTGGAGTTGCAGTCAAATGGCTCATGTCCAATCCCCAGCTCACAGGAATGTGACCAACACATCTGCTCTAAAAACTTCCAGAGTCCTTGGTGTTCTTTTTTATTCTTTTAAGCTGTAAGTTATGCCCTCCAGCTTACCTGCCCTCCACACGTTGGAGAAGGGCACATATCTCACCTCCAAGGGAGTGGTCGTGAGTGTGAAGAAAGAGTTTCAGAATGGATGGGAGAAAATAGGGAATTAACAGAGAGGTTTTAAAAATACTTAGTACAGATTTTTCTTAATGCAATCACATCATTCATTTTTAACTTATGACTTGCTGGAAGAGCTTCCAAAGTCAGCAGTCTGAGCATTGCCTGGGTTAGTAGAAGAGGGAGGCTTTCGGAGGAGGATTGCAGTGGGTTCCCTCTCCCTGCCCATCTCTGTATGGGTCCCTTCCCCAGGGTCTCTCCCTGCCCTTCCCACTGCTTTGAAAGGAGACTGACCCATGAGGCTGCTCCAAGTGTGAGTGACCCAAATGAAGCCATCCCCTTCCCAGCAGGAGAGAGAGAGGAGGGCACTGCTTCCCCCCGGGTTTTCATCTGATTTTCTCAGCGGATGTGGAAGTGCCCTTTCTTATCATTCTCAAATGGCTGATGGGAGAAGCCATGGCTGGGAGACTGGGTAAGGGGTGGAGCAGGGAAGGCTGGCTCCGCATGGGAGCCTACCCGCCTGTGCCCGCTCACTTGGCCAGCAGCACTGGAAGGGAGAGTTTTTAAATGGGGGGTTTAAATACTCATGTTCTCACTTATAAGTGGGAGCTAAATATTGGGTACACATGGACATAAAGATAGGAACACTAGACACTGGGGACTACAAGATGGGGAGAGAGGAAGGGGGGCAAAGGCTGAAACCCCACCTACTGGGTGCTAATTGCTCACTTCCTGGACAATGAGATCATCCACACCCCAAACCCCAGCATTGCAAAATATATCCAATGTAACAAACCTGAACATATACCCCCTGAATCTAAAATAAAAGTTGAAATTATTTTTTATTACAAAGAAAAAACCATTTTAATGGGTTTTGGTGTACAGCAAATAAATGAACACAAAGAGTGTTATATAATTTTATTAGAAAGTTTGACTAATTAATCATAGAAATAAATGGGCAGCATTTTTAACCAATAAATAGAAGATGTGAATTCTTTTCAAATACCAGACAAAAGTATTAATATGTTAAATGGAAAGTTTTTAGGACTAAAAACTGTTACTGAATTAGAGACAGAAATTCAACAGGCCATATTTTCTGAACACCGTAAATGGCAGTAAAGTATCAATTAAAATGTAAACAACCAGTAATTTCAAGACACAAACAAATTTCATTTAAGACCTTCTAAATTAACTGCTGCATTAAATGGAAAATCTAAACTGAGGTTATTTTTAATGAGTCAAGGAACTTCTAATTTAGCAGCATGGTGCTGAAGACCTGAGTTCAAGTAAATAATTCTACCAATATTAGCTTAGCGTTATGGAACAAGAGGCATTCTGACCACATATAATTATTATTCTCTGCAGTGTAGTATTGTCATTTAGGAAACAGATGCAAAATGTACGATTAAATGTCTAGGATTTAAAAAAACACAAATTAAAATATAATATAGGTTTTATTATGATTCAGGTGTGATGGGGCCAACAGATCAGGAGACAACTGCCATGAAAAAGACAGCTTGTTACTCACAGTTCCCATGAGGAGGGGCTGCATCGCACCGAGTGGGCCATATAGGGAAGCACCACGGTGGGCCAGAAGGCAGAAGGAAGGGGGCTATGGGCCAGAGCCTTCATTGTGGTTTTTGTGAGAAGTGTGTGAGGCAGGGTAAAAAGGCTTAGGATTGGCTAGTCTGAATAAATTTCAACAGGCTCTGGGGCATAGGGCTGTTCTTAATCTGTACCTGGTCCTGGGGTGATGAAGGCAGGGGACAGTGGCCTAGAATGTAAAAGCCCCATAGAGGAGCTGCTGAGAGGCTGGGCCCTGCTTCGGTTGGTTTGCATAGGAAAGGCATGCTTGCAGCTTGCAGGTGAGCCCTTTGCTATCTCCAGGGATTGGTTGGCCCTGGGAGGGGCAGCCCCTCCAGGGTCAGCAAGACCCCTGATGTCAAAGCATCAGAATACAAAAAACAAAAGGCATGGGTAATACAGAGAGGCAGGCTCTTGGCTGAATACTCTGGGATCTCTGTTGAGGGTATTTCTGCATCCAGCCAGGCTGAAGTCAGCCTGAAGAGTTCTGTTCCTAATGGGCACATAGAGCAGAAACATTCAGTGGGAGAGCATCTCCACAAGATGCAGAACTATTGCCCCAACCCTACTTCTCCTAAGGTTCCCTGGGATTCTTCAGCGACAGATTTATCAGGTCAGTGTTCCAGCCTGTATCAGCCACACCACTTCACACCTTTCTGAAAGAGTGAGCGGGCCCATCAGCAGGGGCCAGCAGCCAACAGGCATTGACAGCTCTGGGTCAAATGTCACTGGTGGTGTTTGCAGAACAGTCCAATGTGACAGCCCCCTGTATCGAGTCCAGGATGGCTGCCCTTGTGTTTCCTTCACAGCCTCTATCCTGTACTTTTCTCCCAGGAAGGAAGAGCTCAGCTAATCCTATGATTTTGTAGCCTAGCTTATTTTCTAAACACATACCGGAAACAAATGACAGACTTGTTCTTTGGTCAGCCTCATATCACAGGCAGAGGCCCAACCAAAATTCATAATTGCAGCTTGAATTATACACAGCGCTGCACCACCCGTCCCGCACTTATGGAGAACTGTGAAGAAAAACACACACGAGCACAGAATAGGTGTCATTGGAGGATCTGGGATGGTTACTGAAAGCATCGCCTTCCCCACTGAGCTGCTAGAAGGTAGCATATAGAGGCCCTTGTCTGCTCCAAAAAAAACAAGCCCTTGTTTCATCTCTCCCTGCTCTGTCCAGCCCCACCCAACCCCGATCCCTCCCAGACGCATGCCAGATGCATCCTGATGAATGTCATCCCATGATCAATGATCCCCCCACTGTGAACAAACCCCAACCCATTTATTCTGTGGTTAATCCATGTTTTAATAGGTGTAATGATTCAACTGCCTCCACTAACAAATGAGTTCACTGGAATGTAAGAATTTGAGTGGATCCATTAGAAACATCTGTGGATAGACACAGACCCATGGCATACATCCTCTATACATTGAAATGCAGGCAATGCAAAGATGAAGAGAAAAGATGTCAGAGGCAACAAGCACAGACGCTCCCCCACTGGGTTAGAGTTCTGGCCTGAAGTGGGGCCATCTCAGGCACCCACACCTGTGTCTGCTGTGCAGTCCTCTAGGACTCCCCTGGGAGAGTTGTCGGACATGCCCCAGGGCCAGCTCCCTGCCTGCCCTTACCTTACCTTCGATGGCATGTGGTCATTTCAAGGTGCCGTCTCTGTTTCAGACCCAGCTCAAGGTCAGCGCTCGTAGGCCCTGGTATCCGTGTCCGTGGCCGTGTCAGCACAGTCCAGATCCAGCATGCCCCTCACTGTCAGTCACTTCCTCTGCCACAAGCCCCCTTACCGGTCATTTTCTTTTCTGCACAAGAAGCATTTTCCTCACTGTCCCTGTGCTGAAGGCCCCTTCCATTATTGCTTTCCAAATTTTTGAGAGTCAGGGTCTCAGTCTGTCACTCAGGCTGGAGTGCAGTGGTGCAATCATGGTTCACTGCAGCCTCAACCTCCTGGGCTCAAGCAACCCTCCCACCTCAGCCTCCTGAATAGTTGGGACCACAGGTGCATGTCACCACTCCCAACTAACTTAAAGAAAATAAAATCTGTAGAGATGGGGTTTCGCCACATTGCCCAGGTTGGTCTCAAACTCCTGGGTTCAAGCAGTCCTCCCGCATTGGCCTCCAAAAGTTCTGGGATTATAGGTGCGAGCCACTGTGCCAGACTCACTTTCCAAATTTTCAATGTCTTCCCTGATAGCCACTTACTTTCCTATCCTAAATTCTAACTTGGCCCATTCCCACTACTGTGAAGAAACATGAACATAACTCAATCCAGTTTTGACCAGTCTGACTTGGTGCAGCCCATGCTCTCTCTCATGCTAAGCTTTCTGGGGAGGCAGCTAGATACCAAACCATTCTATGGTCATCCTTTGCTTCATATTCCCTACCTGGCCCCCTCCACCTCCCTAGCCAAAGGAGGCCAGGACAGCTATGAGAAGATTGCATTTAGAGAGAATGACCACACATTCCTCCTCTGTCTTCCCTGCAGTGTCACTGTTAAAGCAACAGTCACTGTCATAAGAATAAACGTGTACTGGGGACCAGCACAGTGGCTCACACTGTAATCCCCACTGGAGCCCAGGAATTCAAGACCAGTCTGAGCAATAGAGTGAGGCCTTTTAAAAGTGTGTTGGGGGACGTAAATGAAAAATATATTCCTTCAGACTTCTGAACTTTTGCATTTGCCGTGTCCTGTGCTGGAAATGCCCTTTTTACCTCTTGACTGGGGGTGGGGGAGGTCTTGTTCATTTAAGTTCTAGTTCATTTAAATAACCAGTTAAAATCTTACCTTCTGTGTGGAAACTGCCTCCAGCCTCCCTTCAGGAGGTCGCTGCATCCCCCTCAGCATCTGTGCTGCGAGGCCTTCTCAGACCATCTCCACTGTGGTTGTGCCTGTGCCCCTCGTTAGGCCGTTCTTTCACTGCTATAAAGAAATATCTGAGACTGGGTACTTTATAAAGAAAAGAGGTTTAGTTGGCTCATGCTTCTGCAAGCTTTACAGGAAGCATTGCGCTGGCATCTGCTTGGCTTCTAGGGAGGCCTCAGGAAGCTTACAGTCATGGTGGAAGGTGAACAGGGAGCAGGCACGGCACATGGCAACAGCAGGAGCAAGTGAGAGAGAGTCAGGGGTGGGGCGAGGTGTCACACACTTTTTTTTTTTTTTTGAGACGGAGTCTCGCTCTCTCACCCAGGCTGGAGTGCAGTGGCGCGATCTCGGCTCACTGCAAGCCCCACCTCCCAGGTTCATGCCATTCTCCTGCCTCAGTCTCCTGAGTAAGTGGGACTACAGGCACCTGCCACCATGCCCGGCTAATTTTTTGTATTTTTTAGTAGAGACGGGGTTTCACCGTGTTAGCCAGGATGGTCTCAGTCTCCTGACCTCGTGGTCTGCCCACCTCGGCCTCCCAAATTGCTGGGATTACAGGCGTGAGCCACTGCGCCCAGCCAGGTGTCACACACTTTTAAACGACCAGATCTTGTGTGAACTCAGAGCAAGAGCCCACTTATCACCAAGAGGATGGCCCCAGCCATTCATCAGTAATCTGCCCCCATGATCTCATCACCTCCTGCCAGGCCCCACCTCCAACACTGGGGATGACATTTCAACATGAGATTTGTGGGGGACAAATATCCAAGCTTGGAGACTGGGAGTGCTGCCTAAATCACCTCTGGCTCCCCAGAGCCTGCCCCAGTTCACCCAATATCTTAGGCCTCAATGACTGTTTATCATGCAGGTGAAAGGGGACAGAGAAAGCAATAGCCATTGCCAGTGGGGTGGGCAGTGCAGTGGGGTGGAGTAAGAAAGAGTAACTTAACCCCTCAGTGCCTCAGTTTTCTTATCTGTGAAATAGGTATGACAGTGGTAATACCTGTGTCCTGGTAGTGGTTGTGAGAATTAGATAAGTAATAAACACTTAAATTGATGCCTGGAATTGGCACCTAATCAGTGCTCAGTGAGCAATAACTCCCATTATCTTAGAGATATAGATAAGGTACTTAAATGAGCCAACTTTGATTACTTAAAATAATGAGGCATGCAGTAAGATGGTTATCTTTAAAATCTAAGGCCCACGTAACCAGTCGTTTCAAATATTTGTTTTTTCAAGCTATCCTGTGCCCTCACTTCCCACTTTCCTTTCCTCCAATGGTGAAATGATCAAAAGTGGTATAGAGGGGGCTGGGGCTTGAGGGTAAAGGTAAAAATGAGATTTGGAATAGTGTAAAAACAGCCTGGTCAGCCCCTAAGTTGTAGAGAGTGCACAGGACACAGAACAAGGTGCTCGAGGCACAGGTTAGAGGGCCCCTTTACACCCCAGCTCTACACAAATGTGCACTGTGCTTAGACAAGTCATTTCCTTCCTTTTAACTTCAATGTACTCATCTGTGACATGGGGATGAGGAGGCCACAATGGCTTCTATCATCTCATAAATCCTGAAATAAATCTTATGATTCTCATTCTAAATGTAATTCTCCACATGTAGTCATTCTATGCTGGAGAAATAATGAAGGTTTTATTTATTTTTACCACCAGCCTTGGAGGTGAACAAGCTAGTAACAAACAAAAGCCAATGTGTGTATGTGTATGTTTGTATACTTTTTTTAAGAAAGAGAGGAAAATAAAAAACAATCAAAAAATCAACTTTGATTTTGGATTGTTGAAATCCAAAATCAACAGAGTAGTAAATATTTTTACATTATTTATAAAGCTATTTATTTTTAACATTTAAAAAGTATATTATGTATCATATATAAATATATATGAATGGCTGTTGTGTCATAAATAGGTATGTATGATGGTTTTCATAATGGTCTCTCACCAATACATCATTTTAAGTGGAAATTATAATTTTGAGCAATATGAAAACTGCCGTTTCCCAGGAGGGAGTTTAGAATTGCTGATGCTGTAAGAGTTGACTTCACTGAAGCTGGGCTGCCTCACTAGGGGAATAGTATTAGCACAGAGAGCGGCCAATTCCTTGATGGCGGGTTTTCCATTAGCACGCTTTCCAGTCTAGAGCTGCCCTGTCTTTGTGTGGTTATTTATTAAAGGCCAGATTCAGCAGGATGGGATGTGAGCACAACAGACCCAGGTTGCTGGGTGCTACAAAATGCCTTGTGTTGTATCACGCCTCCCACAAATGAGCTCCCTGCCTTCCCCACTCCATTTCTCATTAGCCCTCCCCAAGGCCCCTCCCCAGGGTAGCTGGAGGATGGGGTGCAATTACCCCTGACCCAGATTTATAGCTAGGGTTGGGGAGAAGGAAGTGACCATCCTGGCAGGTTAAATGGCTTGACCTGGGTCACATTGCCACCACTAACAGCAAAAAAAGGCCTATTCTGCCGGCCTTTCAAATCTCAGAGCCCACAGCTGCGTCCTGGGAGCCACATGGCTTCCCTGCTGGCCTGCTTGGATTATTCATGCAGAAATGGAGCTCCTTACTCAGGATTATGTGTGTGCCTTGGCGGCTAACTCTAATTCTGGTGTTGTGTTACTTCTTAATCATTTGGAAGAAAAAGTCTTATGATTTTTTTTTTTCAATTTAAAGCAGGTTTACCACATTTGATGTCCCTAAACCAGATGAAAGTGCATGTCTGTGAATTTTCCATGTTTGAGGATGTTGTATTTGGAAAGGTCTGAGCCTGCAAGGAACTGCTTTTGGAGAAAGTCTCTCTCAGCTTGGAGGCAGTAGGAGTTATAGCTACAAATCTGTCTTGTAATTTTTTAAATTATGATAAACATATGTAACAAAATTCAACATTTAACCATTTTTAAATGTGTACTCTGTGGCATTCAGTGCATTCACATGGTTATTCTAACGTCACCAGTACTCAGCTCTAGTGCTCTTTTTATCTTCTCAAACAGAAACTATACCTGTTCAACACTATTTCTCCCTCCCCTCAGCCCCTGGAAACCATTCTACTTTCTGTCTCTATGAATTTGACTCTTCTAGGTACCTCCTATAAGCAGAATCATACAGCATTTGTTCTTATATGACTGACTTATTTCACTTGGCATAATATTTTCAAGGTTGTAGAATATCCATATTGTGGAATGTTTCCAAACTTTCCTTTGAAAGGTTAAATAATATTCCACTGTATGGATATACCACATTCTTTTAGCCATTCATTTGCTGATGGATATGAAGTTATCCTCTTGCACTTTTAAATCAGCTATTTCCCATTAGCCTTATTTCCTTTCAAATAAAAATTTCAGAAAATTTGCATTAGGAAAATGTGTTTTTTTTATTTTGATTTTTTTTTAAAAAGGCAAAACTCAAACTGTGTAAGAGTTGAAGTTAACACTTTAAAATGACTTGAGAAGTGTTTGAATATTACATCCAACCACTCTAGAAATCCTCCCTTTATTCCCAGCAGCAGCAGCAGCTATGTGGAGGTAGGAGCAAGATAGAAACCTGGACACCAGTTGGAAAGTTCTTTAAATAATTGAGACAAGATGTGAGAAGGGCCTGAACCAAGGAGGTAAATGGCCTGAGAAAAGAGAGAGCAGAGCCAGGTGTGCGAAGTGTTTGGGAGTGGGATGTACTCCTGGGATGTACTCGGGGGGCGTTAACTGACAGGGGGTGAGGGGAGAGGCTGCAATCCACAACACCAGGGACCAGACTGCTGGTGAGAAGTGAACCAACGTGAGACTCAGGGCTCCCATAGACCCCGAAATTCAGTGCATGCTTCCCAGAGCACATTGGGCCCAAGGCTTTGGGCTAAAATCAAGTAACTGAATTTTGTGCATCAATTTTGACTACTAAAAGTCTTTTTTCTTTTTTCCCTGATACTTCTTTGTGCATTCTACTGTTTTCTAAATGGGTGGGCTTGAGTGTCAATTTGTTACCTTACTTATGCTCTGTCTCACTTTATGTATATCACGGCTTCTGCCATTGCACATAGTTTTCCATCTTCAAATTCATCCTAGTTTACTCATTTACTTTATATACATCTGCGTATCTTACAACACAGGATAGACCTTTCTGCTTTTATAAACTAAGTATTCCGTGAGCAAAGATGATACCATGAAGTTAACAAAGCTAAGCCTTCAGGGTCCCTCCCTTATTTGAGCCCTTTCCAAGGCCCTGAAACAGGCCCCAGCAATTTTGTAATTGTAATTTTGTGTTATTTTTTCTTAACGAGTGTCCCCCAGATTTTATAAGCATCAGGCTCTTCAAAACCTGGATTTGCCCTGCTTGTGAGTCAGGATTGAGCTAGAAAGCCAGGAAGCTGAGCTGCCTTTTCACAGAGGGATTTCTGAAGGCCTTTTCATCTGACAAATGGGGGAGCTTTTGCCCTCAAATCAATGGTTTCATCTCTTCCCCCTCCCCACCCTCATTTTCTTTTCTAAATCTTCCTGATGTTTATAAAAACAGGCTTGTTCAGCAAAATGAAACAAAGAAAATTGGGACAATTGCCTCATTTGAGATGAGACTGTTGTTGGGCTGTTAAGAGTAGCTTCGATTTTTCTAAAATCACCCACAATTTTAGTGATCCTCCCTACCTTGGCCTGGGACCCCAGGGTAGACAGCCAGCCTGCCCCTCTTTGTCCTTCAGACACGTACACGATCGCTCTGGCAGGGAACACGTGTGCTGCTCACAACCCGTGGAGACCAGAGGATAAATCAAATTGTTCTGTGCAGAGAGAAATTGGGTCCTGAGCAGCAAATCAATGGATAATCCATGTGCATTTTTAATGCACTTTTCCTCACATTTAACATCATCCTTCTACCCAGACCCACCCCCTCGGACAACAGGAAACAAAAGCCCCTTCCCCTTGGCCCCACGAGTTACCTCCCAACAGTTGGGCTCTTGCAGACCCACAGGAGAGCAGCTGGC